>NC_000016.10:37269487-37462450 GCF_000001405.40 Homo sapiens | reverse complement strand
TTTGTCTCGTTTTTATACGAAGATATTTCCTTTTCTACCATTGGCATCGAAGCGCTTGAAATCTCCACTTGCAAATTCCACAAAAAGAGTGTTTCAAATATGCTCTCTCTAAAGGAAGGTTGAACTCTGTGAGTTGCATACACACAACACAAAGAAGTTACTGAGAAATCTTCTGTCTAGCATAATATGAAGAAATCCCGTTTCCAACGAAGGCCTCAAAGAGGTCCGAATATCCACTGGCAGGCTTCACAAACAGAGTGTTTCCTAACTGCTCTGTGAAAAGAAAGGTTAAACTCTGTGAGTTGAACGCACACATCACAAAGGAGTTTCTGAGAATCATTCTGTCTAGTTTTTATACGAAGATATTTCCTTTTCTACCATTGACCTCAAAGCGGCTGAAATCTCCACTTGCAAATTCCAGAAAAACAGTGTTTCAAATCTGCTCTGTGTAAAGGATCGTTCAACTCTGTGAGTTGAATACACACAACACAAGGAAGTTACTGAGAATTCATCTGTCTAGCATAATATGAAGAAATCCCGTTTCCAACGAAGGCCTCAAAGAGGTCTGAATATCCACTTGCAGACTTTACAAACAGAGTGTTTCCTAACTGATCTTTGAAAAGAAAGGTTAAACTCTGTGAGTTGAACGCACACATCACAAAACAGTTTCTGAGAATCATTCTGTCTAGTTTTTATACGAAGATATTTCCTTTTCTACCGTTGACCTCAAAGCGGCTGAATTCTCCACTAACAAATTCCACCAAAAGAGTGTCTCAAATCTGCTCTGTGTAAAGAATCATTCAACTCTGTGAGTTGAATGCACACAACACAAGGAAGTTACTGGGAATTCCTCTGTCTAACCTTACATGAAAAAACCCGTTTCCAACGAAGGCCTCTAAGAGGCCAAGATATCCACTTGCAGACTTTACAAACAGAGTGTTTCCAAACTGCTGAATGAAAAGAAAAGTTAAACTCTGTGAGTTGAACGCACACATCACAGAGCAGTTTCTGAGAATGATTCTGTCGGGTTTTTATACGAAGATATTTCCTTTTCTGCCTTTGGCCTCAAAGCGCTTGAAGTCTCCACTTGCAAATTGCAGAAAAAGAGTGTTTCGAATCTGCTCTGTCTAAAGGAAGGTTCAACTCTGTCAGTTGAATACACACAACACAAGGAAGTTACTGAGATTTCTTCTGTCTAGCCTTACATGAAAAAAACCCGTTTCCAACGAAGGCCTCAAAGAGGTCAAAATATCCACGTGCAGACTTTCCAAACAGAGTGTTTCCAAACTGCTGAATGAAAAGAAAAGTTAAACTCTGTGAGTTGAACGCACACATCCCAGAGCAGTTTCTGAGAAAGATTCTGTCTAGTTTTTATAGGAAAATATTTCCTTTTCTGCTTTTGGCCTCAAAGCGCTTGAAATCTCCACTTGCAAATTCCACAAAAAGAGACTTTCAAATCTGCTCTGTCTAAAGGAAGGTTCAACTCTGTCAGTTGAATACACACAACACAAAGAAGTTACTAAGAATTCTTCCCTCTAGCATTATATGAAGAAATCCCGTTTCCAACGAAGGCATCTAAGAGGTCCAAATATCCACTTGCAGACTTTACAAACAGAGGGTTTCCAGAATGCTGTATGAAAAGAAAGGTGAAACTCTGTGAGTTAAACACACACATCACTACGCAGTGTCTGGGAACGAGTTTGTCTTGTTTTTATACGAAGATATTTCCTTTTCTACCATTGGCATCGAAGCGCTTGAAATCTCCACTTGCAAATTCCACAAAAAGAGTGTTTCAAATCTGCTCTGTCTAAAGGAAGGTTGAACTCTGTGAGTTGCATACACACAACACAAAGAAGTTACTGAGAAATCTTCTGTCTAGCATAATATGAAGAAATCCCGTTTCCAACGAAGGCCTCAAAGAGGTCCGAATATCCACTGGCAGGCTTCACAAACAGAGTGTTTCCTAACTGCTCTGTGAAAAGAAAGGTTAAACTCTGTGAGTTGAACGCACACATCACAAAGGAGTTTCTGAGAATCATTCTGTCTAGTTTTTATACGAAGATATTTCCTTTTCTACCATTGACCTCAAAGCGGCTGAAATCTCCACTTGCAAATTCCAGAAAAACAGTGTTTCAAATCTGCTCTGTGTAAAGGATCGTTCAACTCTGTGAGTTGAATACACACAACACAAGGGAAGTTACTGAGAATTCATCTGTCTAGCATAATATGAAGAAATCCCGTTTCCAACGAAGGCCTCAAAGAGGTCTGAATATCCACTTGCAGACTTTACAAACAGAGTGTTTCCTAACTGCTCTTTGAAAAGAAAGGTTAAACTCTGTGAGTTGAACGCACACATCACAAAACAGTTTCTGAGAATCATTCTGTCTAGTTTTTATATGAAGATATTTCCTTTTCTACCGTTGACCTCAAAGCAGCTGAATTCTCCACTTACAAATTCCACCAAAAGAGTGTCTCAAATCTGCTCTGTGTAAAGAATCATTCAACTCTGTGAGTTGAATGCACACAACACAAGGAAGTTACTGGGAATTCCTCTGTCTAACCTTACATGAAAAAACCCGTTTCCAACGAAGGCCTCTAAGAGGCCAAGATATCCACTTGCAGACTTTACAAACAGAGTGTTTCCAAACTGCTGAATGAAAAGAAAAGTTAAACTCTGTGAGTTGAACGCACACATCACAGAGCAGTTTCTGAGAATGATTCTGTCGGGTTTTTATACGAAGATATTTCCTTTTCTGCCTTTGGCCTCAAAGCGCTTGAAGTCTCCACTTGCAAATTGCAGAAAAAGAGTGTTTCGAATCTGCTCTGTCTAAAGGAAGGTTCAACTCTGTCAGTTGAATACACACAACACAAGGAAGTTACTGAGATTTCTTCTGTCTAGCCTTACATGAAAAAAACCCGTTTCCAACGAAGGCCTCAAAGAGGTCAAAATATCCACGTGCAGACTTTCCAAACAGAGTGTTTCCAAACTGCTGAATGAAAAGAAAAGTTAAACTCTGTGAGTTGAACGCACACATCCCAGAGCAGTTTCTGAGAAAGATTCTGTCGAGTTTTTATAGGAAAATATTTCCTTTTCTGCTTTTGGCCTCAAAGCGCTTGAAATCTCCACTTGCAAATTCCACAAAAAGAGACTTTCAAATCTGCTCTGTCTAAAGGAAGGTTCAACTCTGTCAGTTGAATACACACAACACAAAGAAGTTACTAAGAATTCTTCCCTCTAGCATTATATGAAGAAATCCCGTTTCCAACGAAGGCATCTAAGAGGTCCAAATATCCACTTGCAGACTTTACAAACAGAGGGTTTCCAGAATGCTGTATGAAAAGAAAGGTTAAACTCTGTGAGTTAAACACACACATCACTACGCAGTGTCTGGGAACGAGTTTGTCTTGTTTTTATACGAAGATATTTCCTTTTCTACCATTGGCATCGAAGCGCTTGAAATCTCCACTTGCAAATTCCACAAAAAGAGTGTTTCAAATCTGCTCTGTCTAAAGGAAGGTTGAACTCTGTGAGTTGCATACACACAACACAAAGAAGTTACTGAGAAATCTTCTGTCTAGCATAATATGAAGAAATCCCGTTTCCAACGAAGGCCTCAAAGAGGTCCGAATATCCACTGGCAGGCTTCACAAACAGAGTGTTTCCTAACTGCTCTGTGAAAAGAAAGGTTAAACTCTGTGAGTTGAACGCACACATCACAAAGGAGTTTCTGAGAATCATTCTGTCTAGTTTTTATACGAAGATATTTCCTTTTCTACCATTGACCTCAAAGCGGCTGAAATCTCCACTTGCAAATTCCAGAAAAACAGTGTTTCAAATCTGCTCTGTGTAAAGGATCGTTTAACTCTGTGAGTTGAATACACACAACACAAGGAAGTTACTGAGAATTCATCTGTCTAGCATAATATGAAGAAATCCCGTTTCCAACGAAGGCCTCAAAGAGGTCTGAATATCCACTTGCAGACTTTACAAACAGAGTGTTTCCTAACTGCTCTTTGAAAAGAAAGGTTAAACTCTGTGAGTTGAACGCACACATCACAAAACAGTTTCTGAGAATCATTCTGTCTAGTTTTTATACGAAGATATTTCCTTTTCTACCGTTGACCTCAAAGCGGCTGAATTCTCCACTTACAAATTCCACCAAAAGAGTGTCTCAAATCTGCTCTGTGTAAAGAATCATTCAACTCTGTGAGTTGAATGCACACAACACAAGGAAGTTACTGGGAATTCCTCTGTCTAACCTTACATGAAAAAACCCGTTTCCAACGAAGGCCTCTAAGAGGCCAAGATATCCACTTGCAGACTTTACAAACAGAGTGTTTCCAAACTGCTGAATGAAAAGAAAAGTTAAACTCTGTGAGTTGAACGCACACATCACAGAGCAGTTTCTGAGAATGATTCTGTCGGGTTTTTATACGAAGATATTTCCTTTTCTGCCTTTGGCCTCAAAGCGCTTGAAGTCTCCACTTGCAAATTGCAGAAAAAGAGCGTTTCGAATCTGCTCTGTCTAAAGGAAGGTTCAACTCTGTCAGTTGAATACACACAACACAAGGAAGTTACTGAGATTTCTTCTGTCTAGCCTTACATGAAAAAAACCCGTTTCCAACGAAGGCCTCTAAGAGGTCAAAATATCCACGTGCAGACTTTCCAAACAGAGTGTTTCCAAACTGCTGAATGAAAAGAAAGTTAAACTCTGTGAGTTGAACACACAAATCACAGAGCAGTTTCTGAGAATGATTCTCTCTAGTTTTTATAGGAAAATATTTCCTTTTCTGCTTTTGGCCTCAAAGCGCTTGAAATCTCCACTTGCAAATTCCACAAAAAGAGACTTTCAAATCTGCTCTGTCTAAAGGAAGGTTCAACTCTGTCAGTTCAATACACACAACACAAAGAAGTTACTAAGAATTCTTCCCTCTAGCATTATATGAAGAAATCCCGTTTCCAACGAAGGCCTCAAAGAGGTCTGAATATCCACTTGCAGACTTTACAGAGTGTTTCCTAACTGCTCTTTGAAAAGAAAGGTTAAACTCTGTGAGTTGAACGCACACATCACAAAACAGTTTCTGAGAATCATTCTGTCTAGTTTTTATACGAAGATATTTCCTTTTCTACCGTTGACCTCAAAGCGGCTGAATTCTCCACTTACAAATTCCACCCAAAGAGTGTCTCAAATCTGCTCTGTGTAAAGAATCATTCAACTCTGTGAGTTGAATGCACACAACACAAGGAAGTTACTGGGAATTCCTCTGTCTAACCTTACATGAAAAAACCCGTTTCCAACGAAGGCCTCTAAGAGGCCAAGATATCCACTTGCAGACTTTTCAAACAGAGTGTTTCCAAACTGCTGAATGAAAAGAAAAGTTAAACTCTGTGAGTTGAACGCACACATCACAGAGCAGTTTCTGAGAATGATTCTGTCGGGTTTTTATACGAAGATATATCCTTTTCTGCCTTTGGCCTCAAAGCGCTTGAAGTCTCCACTTGCAAATTGCAGAAAAAGAGTGTTTCGAATCTGCTCTGTCTAAAGGAAGGTTCAACTCTGTCAGTTGAATACACACAACACAAGGAAGTTACTGAGATTTCTTCTGTCTAGCCTTACATGAAAAACACCCGTTTCCAACGAAGGCCTCAAAGAGGTCAAAATATCCACGTGCAGACTTTCCAAACAGAGTGTTTCCAAACTGCTGAATGAAAAGAAAAGTTAAACTCTGTGAGTTGAACGCACACATCCCAGAGCAGTTTCTGAGAAAGATTCTGTCTAGTTTTTATAGGAAAATATTTCCTTTTCTGCTTTTGGCCTCAAAGCGCTTGAAATCTCCACTTGCAAATTCCACAAAAAGAGACTTTCAAATCTGCTCTGTCTAAAGGAAGGTTCAACTCTGTCAGTTGAATACACACAACACAAAGAAGTTACTAAGAATTCTTCCCTCTAGCATTATATGAAGAAATCCCGTTTCCAACGAAGGCATCTAAGAGGTCCAAATATCCACTTGCAGACTTTACAAACAGAGGGTTTCCAGAATGCTGTATGAAAAGAAAGGTTAAACTCTGTGAGTTAAACACACACATCACTACGCAGTGTCTGGGAATGAGTTTGTCTTGTTTTTATACGAAGATATTTCCTTTTCTACCATTGGCATCGAAGCGCTTGAAATCTCCACTTGCAAATTCCACAAAAAGAGTGTTTCAAATCTGCTCTGTCTAAAGGAAGGTTGAACTCTGTGAGTTGCATACACACAACACAAAGAAGTTACTGAGAAATCTTCTGACTAGCATAATATGAAGAAATCCCGTTTCCAACGAAGGCCTCAAAGAGGTCCGAATATCCACTGGCAGGCTTCACAAACAGAGTGTTTCCTAACTGCTCTGTGAAAAGAAAGGTTAAACTCTGTGAGTTGAACGCACACATCACAAAGGAGTTTCTGAGAATCATTCTGTCTAGTTTTTATACGAAGATATTTCCTTTTCTACCATTGACCTCAAAGCGGCTGAAATCTCCACTTGCAAATTCCAGAAAAACAGTGTTTCAAATCTGCTCTGTGTAAAGGATCGTTTAACTCTGTGAGTTGAATACACACAACACAAGGAAGTTACTGAGAATTCATCTGTCTAGCATAATATGAAGAAATCTCGTTTCCAACGAAGGCCTCAAAGAGGTCTGAATATCCACTTGCAGACTTTACAAACAGAGTGTTTCCTAACTGCTCTTTGAAAAGAAAGGTTAAACTCTGTGAGTTGAACGCACACATCACAAAACAGTTTCTGAGAATCATTCTGTCTAGTTTTTATACGAAGATATTTCCTTTTCTACCGTTGACCTCAAAGCGGCTGAATTCTCCACTTACAAATTCCACCAAAAGAGTGTCTCAAATCTGCTCTGTGTAAAGAATCATTCAACTCTGTGAGTTGAATGCACACAACACAAGGAAGTTACTGGGAATTCCTCTGTCTATCCTTACATGAAAAAACCCGTTTCCAACGAAGGCCTCTAAGAGGCCAAGATATCCACTTGCAGACTTTACAAACAGAGTGTTTCCAAACTGCTGAATGAAAAGAAAAGTTAAACTCTGTGAGTTGAACGCACACATCACAGAGCAGTTTCTGAGAATGATTCTGTCGGGTTTTTATACGAAGATATTTCCTTTTCTGCCTTTGGCCTCAAAGCGCTTGAAGTCTCCACTTGCAAATTGCAGAAAAAGAGTGTTTCGAATCTGCTCTGTCTAAAGGAAGGTTCAACTCTGTCAGTTGAATACACACAACACAAGGAAGTTACTGAGATTTCTTCTGTCTAGCCTTACATGAAAAAAACCCGTTTCCAACGAAGGCCTCAAAGAGGTCAAAATATCCACGTGCAGACTTTCCAAACAGTGTTTCCAAACTGCTGAATGAAAAGAAAAGTTAAACTCTGTGAGTTGAACGCACACATCACAGAGCAGTTTCTGAGAATGATTCTGTCGAGTTTTTATAGGAAAATATTTCCTTTTCTGCTTTTGGCCTCAAAGCGCTTGAAATCTCCACTTGCAAATTCCACAAAAAGAGACTTTCAAATCTGCTCTGTCTAAAGGAAGGTTCAACTCTGTCAGTTGAATACACACAACACAAAGAAGTTACTAAGAATTCTTCCCTCTAGCATTATATGAAGAAATCCCGTTTCCAACGAAGGCATCTAAAAGGTCCAAATATCCACTTGCAGACTTTACAAACACAGGGTTTCCAGAATGCTGTATGAAAAGAAAGGTTAAACTCTGTGAGTTAAACACACACATCACTACGCAGTGTCTGGGAACGAGTTTGTCTTGTTTTTATACGAAGATATTTCCTTTTCTACCATTTGCATCGAAGCGCTTGAAATCTCCACTTGCAAATTCCACAAAAAGAGTGTTTCAAATATGCTCTCTCTAAAGGAAGGTTGAACTCTGTAAGTTGCATACACACAACACAAAGAAGTTACTGAGAAATCTTCTGTCTAGCATAATATGAAGAAATCCCGTTTCCAACGAAGGCCTCAAAGAGGTCCGAATATCCACTGGCAGGCTTCACAAACAGAGTGTTTCCTAACTGCTCTGTGAAAAGAAAGGTTAAACTCTGTGAGTTGAACGCACACATCACAAAGGAGTTTCTGAGGAATCATTCTCGTCTAGTTTTTATACGAAGATATTTCCTTTTCTACCATTGACCTCAAAGCGGCTGAAATCTCCACTTGCAAATTCCAGAAAAACAGTGTTTCAAATCTGCTCTGTGTAAAGGATCGTTCAACTCTGTGAGTTGAATACACACAACACAAGGAAGTTACTGAGAATTCATCTGTCTAGCATAATATGAAGAAATCCCGTTTCCAACGAAGGCCTCAAAGAGGTCTGAATATCCACTTGCAGACTTTACAAACAGAGTGTTTCCTAACTGCTCTTTGAAAAGAAAGGTTAAACTCTGTGAGTTGAACGCACACATCACAAAACAGTTTCTGAGAATCATTCTGTCTAGTTTTTATACGAAGATATTTCCTTTTCTACCGTTGACCTCAAAGCGGCTGAATTCTCCACTTACAAATTCCACCAAAAGAGTGTCTCAAAACTGCTCTGTGTAAAGAATCATTCAACTCTGTGAGTTGAATGCACACAACACAAGGAAGTTACTGGGAATTCCTCTGTCTAACCTTACATGAAAAAACCCGTTTCCAACGAAGGCCTCTAAGAGGCCAAGATATCCACTTGCAGACTTTACAAACAGAGTGTTTCCAAACTGCTGAATGAAAAGAAAAGTTAAACTCTGTGAGTTGAACTCACACATCACAGAGCAGTTTCTGAGAATGATTCTGTCGGGTTTTTATACGAAGAATATTTCCTTTTCTGCCTTTGGCCTCAAAGCGCTTGAAGTCTCCACTTGCAAATTGCAGAAAAAGAGTGTTTCGAATCTGCTCTGTCTAAAGGAAGGTTCAACTCTGTCAGTTGAATACACACAACACAAGGAAGTTACTGAGATTTCTTCTGTCTAGCGTTACATGAAAAAACCCGTTTCCAACGAAGGCCTCAAAGAGGTCAAAATATCCACGTGCAGACTTTCCAAACAGAGTGTTTCCAAACTGCTGAATGAAAAGTTAAACTCTGTGAGTTGAACGCACACATCCCAGAGCAGTTTCTGAGAAAGATTCTGTCTAGTTTTTATAGGAAAATATTTCCTTTTCTGCTTTTGGCCTCAAAGCGCTTGAAATCTCCACTTGCAAATTCCACAAAAAGAGACTTTCAAATCTGCTCTGTCTAAAGGAAGGTTCAACTCTGTCAGTTGAATACACACAACACAAAGAAGTTACTAAGAATTCTTCCCTCTAGCATTATATGAAGAAATCCCGTTTCCAACGAAGGCATCTAAGAGGTCCAAATATCCACTTGCAGACTTTACAAACAGAGGGTTTCCAGAATGCTGTATGAAAAGAAAGGTGAAACTCTGTGAGTTAAACACACACATCACTACGCAGTGTCTGGGAACGAGTTGTCTTGTTTTTATACGAAGATATTTCCTTTTCTACCATTGGCATCGAAGCGCTTGAAATCTCCACTTGCAAATTCCACAAAAAGAGTGTTTCAAATCTGCTCTGTCTAAAGGAAGGTTGAACTCTGTGAGTTGCATACACACAACACAAAGAAGTTACTGAGAAATCTTCTGTCTAGCATAATATGAAGAAATCCCGTTTCCAACGAAGGCCTCAAAGAGGTCCGAATATCCACTGGCAGGCTTCACAAACAGAGTGTTTCCTAACTGCTCTGTGAAAAGAAAGGTTAAACTCTGTGAGTTGAACGCACACATCACAAAGGAGTTTCTGAGAATCATTCTGTCTAGTTTTTATACGAAGATATTTCCTTTTCTACCATTGACCTCAAAGCGGCTGAAATCTCCACTTGCAAATTCCAGAAAAACAGTGTTTCAAATCTGCTCTGTGTAAAGGATCGTTCAACTCTGTGAGTTGAATACACACAACACAAGGAAGTTACTGAGAATTCATCTGTCTAGCATAATATGAAGAAATCCCGTTTCCAACGAAGGCCTCAAAGAGGTCTGAATATCCACTTGCAGACTTTACAAACAGAGTGTTTCCTAACTGCTCTTTGAAAAGAAAGGTTAAACTCTGTGAGTTGAACGCACACATCACAAAACAGTTTCTGAGAATCATTCTGTCTAGTTTTTATACGAAGATATTTCCTTTTCTACCGTTGACCTCAAAGCAGCTGAATTCTCCACTTACAAATTCCACCAAAAGAGTGTCTCAAATCTGCTCTGTGTAAAGAATCATTCAACTCTGTGAGTTGAATGCACACAACACAAGGAAGTTACTGGGAATTCCTCTGTCTAACCTTACATGAAAAAACCCGTTTCCAACGAAGGCCTCTAAGAGGCCAAGATATCCACTTGCAGACTTTACAAACAGAGTGTTTCCAAACTGCTGAATGAAAAGAAAAGTTAAACTATGTGAGTTGAACGCACACATCACAGAGCAGTTTCTGAGAAAGATTCTGTCGGGTTTTTATACGAAGATATTTCCTTTTCTGCCTTTGGCCTCAAAGCACTTGAAGTCTCCACTTGCAAATTGCAGAAAAAGAGTGTTTCGAATCTGCTCTGTCTAAAGGAAGGTTCAACTCTGTCAGTTGAATACACACAACACAAGGAAGTTACTGAGATTTCTTCTGTCTAGCCTTACATGAAAAAACCCGTTTCCAACGAAGGCCTCAAAGAGGTCAAAATATCCACGTGCAGACTTTCCAAACAGAGTGTTTCCAAACTGCTGAATGAAAAGAAAGTTAAACTCTGTGAGTTGAACACACACATCACAGAGCAGTTTCTGAGAATGATTCTGTCTAGTTTTTATAGGAAAATATTTCCTTTTCTGCTTTTGGCCTCAAAGCGCTTGAAATCTCCACTTGCAAATTCCACAAAAAGAGACTTTCAAATCTGCTCTGTCTAAAGGAAGGTTCAACTCTGTCAGTTGAATACACACAACACAAAGAAGTTACTAAGAATTCTTCCCTCTAGCATTATATGAAGAAATCCCGTTTCCAACGAAGGCATCTAAGAGGTCCAAATATCCACTTGCAGACTTTACAAACAGAGGGTTTCCAGAATGCTGTATGAAAAGAAAGGTTAAACTCTGTGAGTTAAACACACACATCACTACGCAGCGTCTGGGAACGAGTTTGTCTTGTTTTTATACGAAGATATTTCCTTTTCTACCATTGGCATCGAAGCGCTTGAAATCTCCACTTGCAAATTCCACAAAAAGAGTGTTTCAAATCTGCTCTGTCTAAAGGAAGGTTGAACTCTGTGAGTTGCATACACACAACACAAAGAAGTTACTGAGAAATCTTCTGTCTAGCATAATATGAAGAAATCCCGTTTCCAACGAAGGCCTCAAAGAGGTCCGAATATCCACTGGCAGGCTTCACAAACAGAGTGTTTCCTAACTGCTCTGTGAAAAGAAAGGTTAAACTCTGTGAGTTGAATGCACACATCACAAAGGAGTTTCTGAGAATCATTCTGTCTAGTTTTTATACGAAGATATTTCTTTTTCTACCATTGACCTCAAAGCGGCTGAAATCTCCACTTGCAAATTCCAGAAAAACAGTGTTTCAAATCTGCTCTGTGTAAAGGATCGTTCAACTCTGTGAGTTGAATACACACAACACAAGGAAGTTACTGAGAATTCATCTGTCTAGCATAATATGAAGAAATCCCGTTTCCAACGAAGGCCTCAAAGAGGTCTGAATATCCACTTGCAGACTTTACAAACAGAGTGTTTCCTAACTGCTCTTTGAAAAGAAAGGTTAAACTCTGTGAGTTGAAAGCACACATCACAAAACAGTTTCTGAGAATCATTCTGTCTAGTTTTTATACGAAGATATTATTTCCTTTTCTACCGTTGACATCAAAGCAGCTGAATTCTCCACTTACAAATTCCACCAAAAGAGTGTCTCAAATCTGCTCTGTGTAAAGAATCATTCAACTCTGTGAGTTGAATGCACACAACACAAGGAAGTTAGTGGGAATTCCTCTGTCTAACCTTACATGAAAAAACCCGTTTCCAACGAAGGCCTCTAAGAGGCCAAGATATCCACTTGCAGACTTTACAAACAGAGTGTTTCCAAACTGCTGAATGAAAAGAAAAGTTAAACTCTGTGAGTTGAACGCACACATCACAGAGCAGTTTCTGAGAATGATTCTGTCGGGTTTTTATACGAAGATATTTCCTTTTCTGCCTTTGGCCTCAAAGCGCTTGAAGTCTCCACTTGCAAATTGCAGAAAAAGAGTGTTTCGAATCTGCTCTGTCTAAAGGAAGGTTCAACTCTGTCAGTTGAATACACACAACACAAGGAAGTTACTGAGATTTCTTCTGTCTAGCCTTACATGAAAAAAACCCGTTTCCAACGAAGGCCTCAAAGAGGTCAAAATATCCACGTGCAGACTTTCCAAACAGAGTGTTTCCAAACTGCTGAATGAAAAGAAAAGTTAAACTCTGTGAGTTGAACGCACACATCTCAGAGCAGTTTCTGAGAAAGATTCTGTCGAGTTTTTATAGGAAAATATTTCCTTTTCTGCTTTTGGCCTCAAAGCGCTTGAAATCTCCACTTGCAAATTCCACAAAAAGAGACTTTCAAATCTGCTCTGTCTAAAGGAAGGTTCAACTCTGTCAGTTGAATACACACAACACAAAGAAGTTACTAAGAATTCTTCCCTCTAGCATTATATGAAGAAATCCCGTTTCCAACGAAGGCATCTAAGAGGTCCAAATATCCACTTGCAGACTGTACAAACAGAGGGTTTCCAGAATGCTGTATGAAAAGAAAGGTTAAACTCTGTGAGTTAAACACACACATCACTACGCAGTGTCTGGGAACGAGTTTGTCTTGTTTTTATACGAAGATATTTCCTTTTCTACCATTGGCATCGAAGCGCTTGAAATCTCCACTTGCAAATTCCACAAAAAGAGTGTTTCAAATCTGCTCTGTCTAAAGGAAGGTTGAACTCTGTGAGTTGCATACACACAACACAAAGAAGTTACTGAGAAATCTTCTGTCTAGCATAATATGAAGAAATCCCGTTTCCAACGAAGGCCTCAAAGAGGTCCGATTATCCACTGGCAGGCTTCACAAACAGAGTGTTTCCTAACTGCTCTGTGAAAAGAAAGGTTAAACTCTGTGAGTTGAACGCACACATCACAAAGGAGTTTCTGAGAATCATTCTGTCTAGTTTTTATACAAAGATATTTCCTTTTCTACCATTGACCTCAAAGCGGCTGAAATCTCCACTTGCAAATTCCAGAAAAACAGTGTTTCAAATCTGCTCTGTGTAAAGGATCGTTCAACTCTGTGAGTTGAATACACACAACACAAGGAAGTTACTGAGAATTCATCTGTCTAGCATAATATGAAGAAATCCCGTTTCCAACGAAGGCCTCAAAGAGGTCTGAATATCCACATGCAGACTTTACAAACAGAGTGTTTCCTAACTGCTCTCTGAAAAGAAAGGTTAAACTCTGTGAGTTGAACGCACACATCACAAAACAGTTTCTGAGAATCATTCTGTCTAGTTTTTATACGAAGATATTTCCTTTTCTACCGTTGACCTCAAAGCGGCTGAATTCTCCACTTACAAATTCCACCAAAAGAGTGTCTCAAATCTGCTCTGTGTAAAGAATCATTCAACTCTGTGAGTTGAATGCACACAACACAAGGAAGTTACTGGGAATTCCTCTGTCTAACCTTACATGAAAAAACCCGTTTCCAACGAAGGCCTCTAAGAGGCCAAGATATCCACTTGCAGACTTTACAAACAGAGTGTTTCCAAACTGCTGAATGAAAAGAAAAGTTAAACTCTGTGAGTTGAACGCACACATCACAGAGCAGTTTCTGAGAATGATTCTGTCGGGTTTTTATACGAAGATATTTCCTTTTCTGCCTTTGGCCTCAAAGCGCTTGAAGTCTCCACTTGCAAATTGCAGAAAAAGAGTGTTTCGAATCTGCTCTGTCTAAAAGAAGGTTCAACTCTGTCAGTTGAATACACACAACACAAGGAAGTTACTGAGATTTCTTCTGTCTAGCCTTACATGAAAAAAACCCGTTTCCAACGAAGGCCTCAAAGAGGTCAAAATATCCACGTGCAGACTTTCCAAACAGAGTGTTTCCAAACTGCTGAATGAAAAGAAAAGTTAAACTCTGTGAGTTGAACGCACACATCCCAGAGCAGTTTCTGAGAAAGATTCTGTCTAGTTTTTATAGGAAAATATTTCCTTTTCTGCTTTTGGCCTCAAAGCGCTTGAAATCTCCACTTGCAAATTCCACAAAA
Organism: Homo sapiens; assembly: GCF_000001405.40. NCBI lineage: Eukaryota > Metazoa > Chordata > Mammalia > Primates > Hominidae > Homo > Homo sapiens. Next base: position 37,448,103 of record NC_000016.10, on the reverse strand, counting down.
AGAGTGTTTCAAATCTGCTCTGTCTAAAGGAAGGTTGAACTCTGTGAGTTGCATACACACAACACAAAGAAGTTACTGAGAAATCTTCTGTCTAGCATAATATGAAGAAATCCCGTTTCCAACGAAGGCCTCAAAGAGGTCCGAATATCCACTGGCAGGCTTCACAAACAGAGTGTTTCCTAACTGCTCTGTGAAAAGAAAGGTTAAACTCTGTGAGTTGAACGCACACATCACAAAGGAGTTTCTGAGAATCATTCTGTCTAGTTTTTATACAGAAGATATTTCCTTTTCTACCATTGACCTCAAAGCGGCTGAAATCTCCACTTGCAAATTCCAGAAAAACAGTGTTTCAAATCTGCTCTGTGTAAAGGATCGTTCAACTCTGTGAGTTGAATACACACAACACAAGGAAGTTACTGAGAATTCATCTGTCTAGCATAATATGATGAAATCCCGTTTCCAACGAAGGCTTTAAAGTAGGTCTGAATATCCACTTGCAGACTTTACAAACAGAGTGTTTCCTAACTGCTCTTTGAAAAGAAAGGTTAAACTCTGTGAGTTGAACGCACACATCACAAAACAGTTTCTGAGAATCATTTCTAGTTTTTATACGAAGATATTTCCTTTTCTACCGTTGACCTCAAAGCAGCTGAATTCTCCACTTACAAATTCCACCAAAAGAGTGTCTCAAATCTGCTCTGTGTAAAGAATCATTCAACTCTGTGAGTTGAATGCACACAACACAAGGAAGTTACTGGGAATTCCTCTGTCTAACCTTACATGAAAAAACCCGTTTCCAACGAAGGCCTCTAAGAGGCCAAGATATCCACTTGCAGACTTTACAAACAGAGTGTTTCCAAACTGCTGAATGAAAAGAAAAGTTAAACTCTGTGAGTTGAACGCACACATCACAGAGCAGTTTCTGAGAATGATTCTGTCGGGTTTTTATACGAAGATATTTCCTTTTCTGCCTTTGGCCTCAAAGCGCTTGAAGTCTCCACTTGCAAATTGCAGAAAAAGAGTGTTTCGAATCTGCTCTGTCTAAAGGAAGGTTCAACTCTGTCAGTTGAATACACACAACACAAGGAAGTTACTGAGATTTCTTCTGTCTAGCCTTACATGAAAAAAACCCGTTTCCAACGAAGGCCTCAAAGAGGTCAAAATATCCACGTGCAGACTTTCCAAACAGAGTGTTTCCAAACTGCTGAATGAAAAGAAAAGTTAAACTCTGTGAGTTGAACGCACACATCCCAGAGCAGTTTCTGAGAAAGATTCTGTCGAGTTTTTATAGGAAAATATTTCCTTTTCTGCTTTTGGCCTCAAAGCGCTTGAAATCTCCACTTGCAAATTCCACAAAAAGAGACTTTCAAATCTGCTCTGTCTAAAGGAAGGTTCAACTCTGTCAGTTGAATACACACAACACAAAGAAGTTACTAAGAATTCTTCCCTCTAGCATTATATGAAGAAATCCCGTTTCCAACGAAGGCATCTAAGAGGTCCAAATATCCACTTGCAGACTTTACAAACAGAGGGTTTCCAGAATGCTGTATGAAAAGAAAGGTGAAACTCTGTGAGTTAAACACACACATCACTACGCAGTGTCTGGGAACGAGTTTGTCTTGTTTTTATACGAAGATATTTCCTTTTCTACCATTGGCATCGAAGCGCTTGAAATCTCCACTTGCAAATTCCACAAAAAGAGTGTTTCAAATCTGCTCTGTCTAAAGGAAGGTTGAACTCTGTGAGTTGCATACACACAACACAAAGAAGTTACTGAGAAATCTTCTGTCTAGCATAATATGAAGAAATCCCGTTTCCAACGAAGGCCTCAAAGAGGTCTGAATATCCACTGGCAGGCTTCACAAACAGAGTGTTTCCTAACTGCTCTGTGAAAAGAAAGGTTAAACTCTGTGAGTTGAACGCACACATCACAAAGGAGTTTCTGAGAATCATTCTGTCTAGTTTTTATACGAAGATATTTCCTTTTCTACCATTGACCTCAAAGCAGCTGAAATCTCCACTTGCAAATTCCAGAAAAACAGTGTTTCAAATCTGCTCTGTGTAAAGGATCGTTCAACTCTGTGAGTTGAATACACACAACACAAGGAAGTTACTGAGAATTCATCTGTCTAGCATAATATGAAGAAATCCCGTTTCCAACGAAGGCCTCAAAGAGGTCTGAATATCCACTTGCAGACTTTACAAACAGAGTGTTTCCTAACTGCTCTTTGAAAAGAAAGGTTAAACTCTGTGAGTTGAAAGCACACATCACAAAACAGTTTCTGAGAATCATTCTGTCTAGTTTTTATACGAAGATATTTCCTTTTCTACCGTTGACATCAAAGCGGCTGAATTCTCCACTTACAAATTCCACCAAAAGAGTGTCTCAAATCTGCTCTGTGTAAAGAATCATTCAACTCTGTGAGTTGAATGCACACAACACAAGGAAGTTAGTGGGAATTCCTCTGTCTAACCTTACATGAAAAAACCCGCTTCCAACGAAGGCCTCTAAGAGGCCAAGATATCCACTTGCAGACTTTACAAACAGAGTGTTTCCAAACTGCTGAATGAAAAGAAAAGTTAAACTCTGTGAGTTGAACGCACACATCACAGAGCAGTTTCTGAGAATGATTCTGTCGGGTTTTTATACGAAGATATTTCCTTTTCTGCCTTTGGCCTCAAAGCGCTTGAAGTCTCCACTTGCAAATTGCAGAAAAAGAGTGTTTCGAATCTGCTCTGTCTAAAGGAAGGTTCAACTCTGTCAGTTGAATACACACAACACAAGGAAGTTACTGAGATTTCTTCTGTCTAGCCTTACATGAAAAAAACCCGTTTCCAACGAAGGCCTCAAAGAGGTCAAAATATCCACGTGCAGACTTTCCAAACAGAGTGTTTCCAAACTGCTGAATGAAAAGAAAAGTTAAACTCTGTGAGTTGAACGCACACATCCCAGAGCAGTTTCTGAGAAAGATTCTGTCGAGTTTTTATAGGAAAATATTTCCTTTTCTGCTTTTGGCCTCAAAGCGCTTGAAATCTCCACTTGCAAATTCCACAAAAAGAGACTTTCAAATCTGCTCTGTCTAAAGGAAGGTTCAACTCTGTCAGTTGAATACACACAACACAAAGAAGTTACTAAGAATTCTTCCCTCTAGCATTATATGAAGAAATCCCGTTTCCAACGAAGGCATCTAAGAGGTCCAAATATCCACTTGCAGACTTTACAAACACAGGGTTTCCAGAATGCTGTATGAAAAGAAAGGTTAAACTCTGTGAGTTAAACACACACATCACTACGCAGTGTCTGGGAACGAGTTTGTCTTGTTTTATACGAAGATATTTCCTTTTCTACCATTGGCATCGAAGCGCTTGAAATCTCCACTTGCAAATTCCACAAAAAGAGTGTTTCAAATCTGCTCTGTCTAAAGGAAGGTTGAACTCTGTGAGTTGCATACACACAACACAAAGAAGTTACTGAGAAATCTTCTGTCTAGCATAATATGAAGAAATCCCGTTTCCAACGAAGGCCTCAAAGAGGTCCGAATATCCACTGGCAGGCTTCACAAACAGAGTGTTTCCTAACTGCTCTGTGAAAAGAAAGGTTAAACTCTGTGAGTTGAACGCACACATCACAAAGGAGTTTCTGAGAATCATTCTGTCTAGTTTTTATACGAAGATATTTCCTTTTCTACCATTGACCTCAAAGCGGCTGAAATCTCCACTTGCAAATTCCAGAAAAACAGTGTTTCAAATCTGCTCTGTGTAAAGGATCGTTCAACTCTGTGAGTTGAATACACACAACACAAGGAAGTTACTGAGAATTCATCTGTCTAGCATAATATGAAGAAATCCCGTTTCCAACGAAGGCCTCAAAGAGGTCTGAATATCCACTTGCAGACTTTACAAACAGAGTGTTTCCTAACTGCTCTTTGAAAAGAAAGGTTAAACTCTGTGAGTTGAACGCACACATCACAAAACAGTTTCTGAGAATCATTCTGTCTAGTTTTTATACGAAGATATTTCCTTTTCTACCGTTGACCTCAAAGCGGCTGAATTCTCCACTTACAAATTCCACCAAAAGAGTGTCTCAAATCTGCTCTGTGTAAAGAATCATTCAACTCTGTGAGTTGAATGCACACAACACAAGGAAGTTACTGGGAATTCCTCTGTCTAACCTTACATGAAAAAACCCGTTTCCAACGAAGGCCTCTAAGAGGCCAAGATATCCACTTGCAGACTTTACAAACAGAGTGTTTCCAAACTGCTGAATGAAAAGAAAAGTTAAACTCTGTGAGTTGAACGCACACATCACAGAGCAGTTTCTGAGAATGATTCTGTCGGGTTTTTATACGAAGATATTTCCTTTTCTGCCTTTGGCCTCAAAGCGCTTGAAGTCTCCACTTGCAAATTGCAGAAAAAGAGTGTTTCGAATCTGCTCTGTCTAAAGGAAGGTTCAACTCTGTCAGTTGAATACACACAACACAAGGAAGTTACTGAGATTTCTTCTGTCTAGCCTTACATGAAAAAAACCCGTTTCCAACGAAGGCCTCAAAGAGGTCAAAATATCCACGTGCAGACTTTCCAAACAGTGTTTCCAAACTGCTGAATGAAAAGAAAAGTTAAACTCTGTGAGTTGAACGCACACATCACAGAGCAGTTTCTGAGAATGATTCTGTCGAGTTTTTATAGGAAAATATTTCCTTTTCTGCTTTTGGCCTCAAAGCGCTTGAAATCTCCACTTGCAAATTCCACAAAAAGAGACTTTCAAATCTGCTCTGTCTAAAGGAAGGTTCAACTCTGTCAGTTGAATACACACAACACAAAGAAGTTACTAAGAATTCTTCCCTCTAGCATTATATGAAGAAATCCCGTTTCCAACGAAGGCATCTAAGAGGTCCAAATATCCACTTGCAGACTTTACAAACACAGGGTTTCCAGAATGCTGTATGAAAAGAAAGGTTAAACTCTGTGAGTTAAACACACACATCACTACGCAGTGTCTGGGAACGAGTTTGTCTTGTTTTTATACGAAGATATTTCCTTTTCTACCATTGGCATCGAAGCGCTTGAAATCTCCACTTGCAAATTCCACAAAAAGAGTGTTTCAAATCTGCTCTGTCTAAAGGAAGGTTGAACTCTGTGAGTTGCATACACACAACACAAAGAAGTTACTGAGAAATCTTCTGTCTAGCATAATATGAAGAAATCCCGTTTCCAACGAAGGCCTCAAAGAGGTCCGAATATCCACTGGCAGGCTTCACAAACAGAGTGTTTCCTAACTGCTCTGTGAAAAGAAAGGTTAAACTCTGTGAGTTGAACGCACACATCACAAAGGAGTTTCTGAGAATCATTCTGTCTAGTTTTTATACGAAGATATTTCCTTTTCTACCATTGACCTCAAAGCGGCTGAAATCTCCACTTGCAAATTCCAGAAAAACAGTGTTTCAAATCTGCTCTGTGTAAAGGATCGTTCAACTCTGTGAGTTGAATACACACAACACAAGGAAGTTACTGAGAATTCATCTGTCTAGCATAATATGAAGAAATCCCGTTTCCAACGAAGGCCTCAAAGAGGTCTGAATATCCACTTGCAGACTTTACAAACAGAGTGTTTCCTAACTGCTCTTTGAAAAGAAAGGTTAAACTCTGTGAGTTGAACGCACACATCACAAAACAGTTTCTGAGAATCATTCTGTCTAGTTTTTATACGAAGATATTTCCTTTTCTACCGTTGACCTCAAAGCGGCTGAATTCTCCACTTACAAATTCCACCAAAAGAGAGTCTCAAATCTGCTCTTTGTAAAGAATCATTCAACTCTGTGTGTTGAATGCACACAACACAAGGAAGTTACTGGGAATTCCTCTGTCTAACCTTACATGAAAAAACCCGTTTCCAACGAAGGCCTCTAAGAGGCCAAGATATCCACTTGCAGACTTTACAAACAGAGTGTTTCCAAACTGCTGAATGAAAAGAAAAGTTAAACTCTGTGAGTTGAACGCACACATCACAGAGCAATTTCTGAGAGTGATTCTGTCGGGTTTTTATACGAAGATATTTCCTTTTCTGCCTTTGGCCTCAAAGCGCTTGAAGTTTCCACTTGCAAATTGCAGAAAAAGAGTGTTTCGAATCTGCTCTGTCTAAAGGAAGGTTCAACTCTGTCAGTTGAATACACACAACACAAGGAAGTTACTGAGATTTCTTCTGTCTAGCCTTACATGAAAAAAACCCGTTTCCAACGAAGGCCTCAAAGAGGTCAAAATATCCACGTGCAGACTTTCCAAACAGGGTGTTTCCAAACTGCTGAATGAAAAGAAAAGTTAAACTCTGTGAGTTGAACGCACACATCCCAGAGCAGTTTCTGAGAAAGATTCTGTCGAGTTTTTATAGGAAAATATTTCCTTTTCTGCTTTTGGCCTCAAAGCGCTTGAAATCTCCACTTGCAAATTCCACAAAAAGAGACTTTCAAATCTGCTCTGTCTAAAGGAAGGTTCAACTCTGTCAGTTGAATACACACAACACAAAGAAGTTACTAAGAATTCTTCCCTCTAGCATTATATGAAGAAATCCCATTTCCAAAGAAGGCATCTAAGAGGTCCAAATATCCACTTGCAGACTTTACAAACACAGGGTTTCCAGAATGCTGTATGAAAAGAAAGGTTAAACTCTGTGAGTTAAACACACACATCACTACGCAGTGTCTGGGAACGAGTTTGTCTTGTTTTTATACGAAGATATTTCCTTTTCTACCATTGGCATCGAAGCGCTTGAAATCTCCACTTGCAAATTCCACAAAAAGAGTGTTTCAAATCTGCTCTGTCTAAAAGAAGGTTGAACTCTGTGAGTTGCATACACACAACCCAAAGAAGTTACTGAGAAATCTTCTGTCTAGCATAATATGAAGAAATCCCGTTTCCAACGAAGGCCTCAAAGAGGTCCGAATATCCACTGGCAGGCTTCACAGAGTGTTTCCTAACTGCTCTGTGAAAAGAAAGGTTAAACTCTGTGAGTTGAACGCACACATCACAAAGGAGTTTCTGAGAATCATTCTGTCTAGTTTTTATACGAAGATATTTCCTTTTCTACCATTGACCTCAAAGCGGCTGAAATCTCCACTTGCAAATTCCAGAAAAACAGTGTTTCAAATCTGCTCTGTGTAAAGGATCGTTCAACTCTGTGAGCTGAATACACACAACACAAGGAAGTTACTGAGAATTCATCTGTCTAGCATAATATGAAGAAATCCCGTTTCCAACGAAGGCCTCAAAGAGGTCTGAATATCCACTTGCAGACTTTACAAACAGAGTGTTTCCTAACTGCTCTTTGAAAAGAAAGGTTAAACTCTGTGAGTTGAACGCACACATCACAAAACAGTTTCTGAGAATCATTCTGTCTAGTTTTTATACGAAGGTATTTCCTTTTCTACCGTTGACCTCAAAGCGGCTGAATTCTCCACTTACAAATTCCACCCAAAGAGTGTCTCAAATCTGCTCTGTGTAAAGAATCATTCAACTCTGTGAGTTGAATGCACACAACACAAGGAAGTTACTGGGAATTCCTCTGTCTAACCTTACATGAAAAAACCCGTTTCCAACGAAGGCCTCTAAGAGGCCAAGATATCCACTTGCAGACTTTACAAACAGAGTGTTTCCAAACTGCTGAATGAAAAGAAAAGTTAAACTCTGTGAGTTGAACGCACACATCCCAGAGCAGTTTCTGAGAATGATTCTGTCGGGTTTTTATACGAAGATATTTCCTTTTCTGCCTTTGGCCTCAAAGCGCTTGAAGTCTCCACTTGCAAATTGCAGAAAAAGAGTGTTTCGAATCTGCTCTGTCTAAAGGAAGGTTCAACTCTGTCAGTTGAATACACACAACACAAGGAAGTTACTGAGATTTCTTCTGTCTAGCCTTACAAGAAAAAAACCCGTTTCCAACGAAGGCCTCAAAGAGGTCAAAATATCCACGTGCAGACTTTCCAAACAGAGTGTTTCCAAACTGCTGAATGGAAAGAAAAGTTAAACTCTGTGAGTTGAACGCACACATCCCAGAGCAGTTTCTGAGAAAGATTCTGTCGAGTTTTTATAGGAAAATATTTCCTTTTCTGCTTTTGGCCTCAAAGCGCTTGAAATCTCCACTTGCAAATTCCACAAAAAGAGACTTTCAAATCTGCTCTGTCTAAAGGAAGGTTCAACTCTGTCAGTTGAATACACACAACACAAAGAAGTTACTAAGAATTCTTCCCTCTAGCATTATATGAAGAAATCCCGTTTCCAACGAAGGCATCTAAGAGGTCCAAATATCCACTTGCAGACTTTACAAACACAGGGTTTCCAGAATGCTGTATGAAAAGAAAGGTTAAACTCTGTGAGTTAAACACACACATCACTACGCAGTGTCTGGGAACGAGTTTGTCTTGTTTTTCTACGAAGATATTTCCTTTTCTACCATTGGCATCGAAGCGCTTGAAATCTCCACTTGCAAATTCCACAAAAAGAGTGTTTCAAATCTGCTCTGTCTAAAGGAAGGTTGAACTCTGTGAGTTGCATACACACAACGCAAAGAACTTACTGAGAAATCTTCTGTCTAGCATAATATGAAGAAATCCCGTTTCCAACGAAGGCCTCAAAGAGGTCCGAATATCCACTGGCAGGCTTCACAAACAGAGTGTTTCCTAACTGCTCTGTGAAAAGAAAGGTTAAACTCTGTGAGTTGAACGCACACATCACAAAGGAGTTTCTGAGAATCATTCTGTCTAGTTTTTATACGAAGATATTTCTTTTTCTACCATTGACGCAAAGCGGCTGAAATCTCCACTTGCAAATTCCAGAAAAACAGTGTTTCAAATCTGCTCTGTGTAAAGGATCGTTCAACTCTGTGAGTTGAATACACACAACACAAGGAAATTACTGAGAATTCATCTGTCTAGCATAATATGAAGAAATCCAGTTTCCAACGAAGGCCTCAAAGAGGTCTGAATATCCACTTGCAGACTTTACAAACAGAGTGTTTCCTAACTGCTCTTTGAAAAGAAAGGTTAAACTCTGTGAGTTGAACGCACACATCACAAAACAGTTTCTGAGAATCATTCTGTCTAGTTTTTATACGAAGATATTTCCTTTTCTACCGTTGACCTCAAAGCGGCTGAATTCTCCACTTACAAATTCCACCAAAAGAGTGTCTCAAATCTGCTCTGTGTAAAGAATCATTCAACTCTGTGAGTTGAATGCACACAACACAAGGAAGTTACTGGGAATTCCTGTGTGTATCCTTACATGAAAAAACCCGTTTCCAACGAAGGCCTCTAAGAGGCCAAGATATCCACTTGCAGACTTTACAAACAGAGTGTTTCCAAACTGCTGAATGAAAAGAAAAGTTAAACTCTGTGAGTTGAACGCACACATCACAGAGCAGTTTCTGAGAATGATTCTGTCGGGTTTTTATACGAAGATATTTCCTTTTCTGCCTTTGGCCTCAAAGCGCTTGAAGTCTCCACTTGCAAATTGCAGAAAAAGAGTGTTTCGAATCTGCTCTGTCTAAAGGAAGGTTCAACTCTGTCAGTTGAATACACACAACACAAGGAAGTTACTGAGATTTCTTCTGTCTAGCCTTACATGAAAAAAACCCGTTTCCAACGAAGGCCTCAAAGAGGTCAAAATATCCACGTGCAGACTTTCCAAACAGAGTGTTTCCAAACTGCTGAATGAAAAGAAAAGTTAAACTCTGTGAGTTGAACGCACACATCCCAGAGCAGTTTCTGAGAAAGATTCTGTCTAGTTTTTATAGGAAAACATTTCCTTTTCTGCTTTTGGCCTCAAAGCGCTTGAAATCTCCACTTGCAAATTCCACAAAAAGAGACTTTCAAATCTGCTCTGTCTAAAGGAAGGTTCAACTCTGTCAGTTGAATACACACAACACAAAGAAGTTACTAAGAATTCTTCCCTCTAGCATTATATGAAGAAATCCCGTTTCCAACGAAGGCATCTAAGAGGTCCAAATATCCACTTGCAGACTTTACAAACAGAGGGTTTCCAGAATGCTGTATGAAAAGAAAGGTGAAACTCTGTGAGTTAAACACACACATCACTACGCAGTGTCTGGGAACGAGTTTGTCTTGTTTTTATACGAAGATATTTCCTTTTCTACCATTGGCATCGAAGCGCTTGAAATCTCCACTTGCAAATTCCACAAAAAGAGTGTTTCAAATCTGCTCTGTCTAAAGGAAGGTTGAACTCTGTGAGTTGCATACACACAACACAAAGAAGTTACTGAGAAATCTTCTGTCTAGCATAATATGAAGAAATCCCGTTTCCAACGAAGGCCTCAAAGAGGTCCGAATATCCACTGGCAGGCTTCACAAACAGAGTGTTTCCTAACTGCTCTGTGAAAAGAAAGGTTAAACTCTGTGAGTTGAACGCACACATCACAAAGGAGTTTCTGAGAATCATTCTGTCTAGTTTTTATACGAAGATATTTCTTTTTCTACCATTGACCTCAAAGCGGCTGAAATCTCCACTTGCAAATTCAAGAAAAACAGTGTTTCAAATCTGCTCTGTGTAAAGGATCGTTCAACTCTGTGAGTTGAATACACACAACACAAGGAAGTTACTGAGAATTCATCTGTCTAGCATAATATGAAGAAATCCCGTTTCCAACGAAGGCCTCAAAGAGGTCTGAATATCCACTTGCAGACTTTACAAACAGAGTGTTTCCTAACTGCTCTTTGAAAAGAAAGGTTAAACTCTGTGAGTTGAACGCACACATCACAAAACAGTTTCTGAGAATCATTCTGTCTAGTTTTTATACGAAGATATTTCCTTTTCTACCGTTGACCTCAAAGCGGCTGAATTCTCCACTTACAAATTCCACCAAAAGAGTGTCTCAAATCTGCTCTGTGTAAAGAATCATTCAACTCTGTGAGTTGAATGCACACAACACAAGGAAGTTACTGGGAATTCCTCTGTCTATCCTTACATGAAAAAACCCGCTTCCAACGAAGGCCTCTAAGAGGCCAAGATATCCACTTGCAGACTTTACAAACAGAGTGTTTCCAAACTGCTGAATGAAAAGAAAAGTTAAACTCTGTGAGTTGAACGCACACATCACAGAGCAGTTTCTGAGAATGATTCTGTCGGGTTTTTATACGAAGATATTTCCTTTTCTGCCTTTGGCCTCAAAGCGCTTGAAGTCTCCACTTGCAAATTGCAGAAAAAGAGTGTTTCGAATCTGCTCTGTCTAAAGGAAGGTTCAACTCTGTCAGTTGAATACACACAACACAAGGAAGTTACTGAGATTTCTTCTGTCTAGCCTTACATGAAAAAAACCCGTTTCCAACGAAGGCCTCAAAGAGGTCAAAATATCCACGTGCAGACTTTCCATACAGAGTGTTTCCAAACTGCTGAATGAAAAGAAAAGTTAAACTCTGTGAGTTGAACGCACACATCCCAGAGCAGTTTCTGAGAAAGATTCTGTCTAGTTTTTATAGGAAAATATTTCCTTTTCTGCTTTTGGCCTCAAAGCGCTTGAAATCTCCACTTGCAAATTCCACAAAAAGAGACTTTCAAATCTGCTCTGTCTAAAGGAAGGTTCAACTCTGTCAGTTGAATACACACAACACAAAGAAGTTACTAAGAATTCTTCCCTCTAGCATTATATGAAGAAATCCCGTTTCCAACGAAGGCATCTAAGAGGTCCAAATATCCACTTGCAGACTTTACAAACACAGGGTTTCCAGAATGCTGTATGAAAAGAAAGGTTAAACTCTGTGAGTTAAACACACACATCACTACGCAGTGTCTGGGAACGAGTTTGTCTTGTTTTTATACGAAGATATTTCCTTTTCTACCATTGGCATCGATGCGCTTGAAATTTCCACTTGCAAATTCCACAAAAAGAGTGTTTCAAATCTGCTCTGTCTAAAGGAAGGTTGAACTCTGTGAGTTGCATACACACAACACAAAGAAGTTACTGAGAAATCTTCTGTCTAGCATAATATGAAGAAATCCCGTTTCCAACGAAGGCCTCAAAGAGGTCCGAATATCCCCTGGCAGGCTTCACAAACAGAGTGTTTCCTAACTGCTCTGTGAAAAGAAAGGTTAAACTCTGTGAGTTGAACGCACACATCACAAAGGAGTTTCTGAGAATCATTCTGTCTAGTTTTTATACGAAGATATTTCCTTTTCTACCATTGACCTCAAAGCGGCTGACATCTCCACTTGCAAATTCCAGAAAAACAGTGTTTCAAATCTGCTCTGTGTAAAGGATCGTTCAACTCTGTGAGTTGAATACACACAACACAAGGAAGTTACTGAGAATTCATCTGTCTAGCATAATATGAAGAAATCCCGTTTCCAACGAAGGCCTCAAAGAGGTCTGAATATCCGCTTGCAGACTTTACAAACAGAGTGTTTCCTAACTGCTCTTTGAAAAGAAAGGTTAAACTCTGTGAGTTGAACGCACACATCACAAAACAGTTTCTGAGAATCATTCTGTCTAGTTTTTATACGAAGATATTTCCTTTTCTACCGTTGACCTCAAAGCGGCTGAATTCTCCACTTACAAATTCCACCAAAAAAGTGTCTCAAATCTGCTCTGTGTAAAGAATCATTCAACTCTGTGAGTTGAATGCACACAACACAAGGAAGTTACTGGGAATTCCTCTGTCTAACCTTACATGAAAAAACCCGTTTCCAACGAAGGCCTCTAAGAGGCCAAGATATCCACTTGCAGACTTTACAAACAGAGTGTTTCCAAACTGCTGAATGAAAAGAAAAGTTAAACTCTGTGAGTTGAACGCACATATCACAGAGCAGTTTCTGAGAATGATTCTGTCGGGTTTTTATACGAAGATATTTCCTTTTCTGCCTTTGGCCTCAAAGCGCTTGAAGTCTCCACTTGCAAATTGCAGAAAAAGAGTGTTTCGAATCTGCTCTGTCTAAAGGAAGGTTCAACTCTGTCAGTTGAATACACACAACACAAGGAAGTTACTGAGATTTCTTCTGTCTAGCCTTACATGAAAAAAACCCGTTTCCAACGAAGGCCTCAAAGAGGTCAAAATATCCACGTGCAGACTTTCCAAACAGAGTGTTTCCAAACTGCTGAATGAAAAGAAAGTTAAACTCTGTGAGTTGAACACACACATCACAGAGCAGTTTCTGAGAATGATTCTGTCTAGTTTTTATAGGAAAATATTTCCTTTTCTGCTTTTGGCCTCAAAGCGCTTGAAATCTCCACTTGCAAATTCCACAAAAAGAGACTTTCAAATCTGCTCTGTCTAAAGGAAGGTTCAACTCTGTCAGTTGAATACACACAACACAAAGAAGTTACTAAGAATTCTTCCCTCTAGCATTATATGAAGAAATCCCGTTTCCAACGAAGGCATCTAAGAGGTCCAAATATCCACTTGCAGACTTTACAAACAGAGGGTTTCCAGAATGCTGTATGAAAAGAAAGGTGAAACTCTGTGAGTTAAACACACACATCACTACGCAGTGTCTGGGAACGAGTTTGTCTTGTTTTTATACGAAGATATTTCCTTTTCTACCATTGGCATCGAAGCGCTTGAAATCTCCACTTGCAAATTCCACAAAAAGAGTGTTTCAAATCTGCTCTGTCTAAAGGAAGGTTGAACTCTGTGAGTTGCATACACACAACACAAAGAAGTTACTGAGAAATCTTCTGTCTAGCATAATATGAAGAAATCCCGTTTCCAACGAAGGCCTCAAAGAGGTCCGAATATCCACTGGCAGGCTTCACAAACAGAGTGTTTCCTAACTGCTCTGTGAAAAGAAAGGTTAAACTCTGTGAGTTGAAGGCACACATCACAAAGGAGTTTCTGAGAATCATTCTGTCTAGTTTTTATACGAAGATATTTCTTTTTCTACCATTGACCTCAAAGCGGCTGAAATCTCCACTTGCAAATTCCAGAAAAACAGTGTTTCAAATCTGCTCTGTGTAAAGGATCGTTCAACTCTGTGAGTTGAATACACACAACACAAGGAAGTTACTGAGAATTCATCTGTCTAGCATAATATGAAGAAATCCCGTTTCCAACGAAGGCCTCAAAGAGGTCTGAATATCCACTTGCAGACTTTACAAACAGAGTGTTTCCTAACTGCTCTTTGAAAAGAAAGGTTAAACTCTGTGAGTTGAAAGCACACATCACAAAACAGTTTCTGAGAATCATTCTGTCTAGTTTTTATACGAAGATATTTCCTTTTCTACCGTTGACATCAAAGCGGCTGAATTCTCCACTTACAAATTCCACCAAAAGAGTGTCTCAAATCTGCTCTGTGTAAAGAATCATTCAACTCTGTGAGTTGAATGCACACAACACAAGGAAGTTAGTGGGAATTCCTCTGTCTAGCCTTACATGAAAAAACCCGCTACCAACGAAGGCCTCTAAGAGGCCAAGATATCCACTTGCAGACTTTACAAACAGAGTGTTTCCAAACTGCTGAATGAAAAGAAAAGTTAAACTCTGTGAGTTGAACGCACACATCACAGAGCAGTTTCTGAGAATGATTCTGTCGGGTTTTTATACGAAGATATTTCCTTTTCTGCCTTTGGCCTCAAAGCGCTTGAAGTCTCCACTTGCAAATTGCAGAAAAAGAGTGTTTCGAATCTGCTCTGTCTAAAGGAAGGTTCAACTCTGTCAGTTGAATACACACAACACAAGGAAGTTACTGAGATTTCTTCTGTCTAGCCTTACATGAAAAAAACCCGTTTCCAACGAAGGCCTCAAAGAGGTCAAAATATCCACGTGCAGACTTTCCAAACAGAGTGTTTCCAAACTGCTGAATGAAAAGAAAAGTTAAACTCTGTGAGTTGAACGCACACATCCCAGAGCAGTTTCTGAGAAAGATTCTGTCGAGTTTTTATAGGAAAATATTTCCTTTTCTGCTTTCGGCCTCAAAGCGCTTGAAATCTCCACTTGCAAATTCCACAAAAAGAGACTTTCAAATCTGCTCTGTCTAAAGGAAGGTTCAACTCTGTCAGTTGAATACACACAACACAAAGAAGTTACTAAGAATTCTTCCCTCTAGCATTATATGAAGAAATCCCGTTTCCAACGAAGGCATCTAAGAGGTCCAAATATCCACTTGCAGACTTTACAAACACAGGGTTTCCAGAATGCTGTATGAAAAGAAAGGTGAAACTCTGTGAGTTAAACACACACATCACTACGCAGTGTCTGGGAACGAGTTTGTCTTGTTTTTATACGAAGATATTTCCTTTTCTACCATTGGCATCGAAGCGCTTGAAATCTCCACTTGCAAATTCCACAAAAAGAGTGTTTCAAATCTGCTCTGTCTAAAGGAAGGTTGAACTCTGTGAGTTGCATACACACAACACAAAGAAGTTACTGAGAAATCTTCTGTCTAGCATAATATGAAGAAATCCCGTTTCCAACGAAGGCCTCAAAGAGGTCTGAATATCCACTGGCAGGCTTCACAAACAGAGTGTTTCCTAACTGCTCTGTGAAAAGAAAGGTTAAACTCTGTGAGTTGAACGCACACATCACAAAGGAGTTTCTGAGAATCATTCTGTCTAGTTTTTATACGAAGATATTTCCTTTTCTACCATTGACCTCAAAGCGGCTGAAATCTCCACTTGCAAATTCCAGAAAAACAGTGTTTCAAATCTGCTCTGTGTAAAGGATCGTTCAACTCTGTGAGTTGAATACACACAACACAAGGAAGTTACTGAGAATTCATCTGTCTAGCATAATATGAAGAAATCCCGTTTCCAACGAAGGCCTCAAAGAGGTCTGAATATCCACTTGCAGACTTTACAAACAGAGTGTTTCCTAACTGCTCTTTGAAAAGAAAGGTTAAACTCTGTGAGTTGAAAGCACACATCACAAAACAGTTTCTGAGAATCATTCTGTCTAGTTTTTATACGAAGGATATTTCCTTTTCTACCGTTGACCCCAAAGCGGCTGAATTCTCCACTTACAAATTCCACCAAAAGAGTGTCTCAAATCTGCTCTGTGTAAAGAATCATTCAACTCTGTGAGTTCAATGCACACAACACAAGGAAGTTACTGGGAATTCCTCTGTCTATCCTTACATGAAAAAACCCGTTTCCAACGAAGGCCTCTAAGAGGCCAAGATATCCACTTGCAGACTTTACAAACAGAGTGTTTCCAAACTGCTGAATGAAAAGAAAAGTTAAACTCTGTGAGTTGAACGCACACATCACAGAGCAGTTTCTGAGAATGATTCTGTCGGGTTTTTATACGAAGATATTTCCTTTTCTGCCTTTGGCCTCAAAGCGCTTGAAGTCTCCACTTGCAAATTGCAGAAAAAGAGTGTTTCGAATCTGCTCTGTCTAAAGGAAGGTTCAACTCTGTCAGTTGAATACACACAACACAAGGAAGTTACTGAGATTTCTTCTGTCTAGCCTTACATGAAAAAAACCCGTTTCCAACGAAGGCCTCAAAGAGGTCAAAATATCCACGTGCAGACTTTCCAAACAGAGTGTTTCCAAACTGCTGAATGAAAAGAAAAGTTAAACTCTGTGAGTTGAACGCACACATCCCAGAGCAGTTTCTGAGAGAGATTCTGTCGAGTTTTTATAGGAAAATATTTCCTTTTCTGCTTTTGGCCTCAAAGCGCTTGAAATCTCCACTTGCAAATTCCACAGAAAGAGACTTTCAAATCTGCTCTGTCTAAAGGAAGGTTCAACTCTGTCAGTTGAATACACACAACACAAAGAAGTTACTAAGAATTCTTCCCTCTAGCATTATATGAAGAAATCCCGTTTCCAACGAAGGCATCTAAGAGGTCCAAATATCCACTTGCAGACTTTACAAACACAGGGTTTCCAGAATGCTGTATGAAAAGAAAGGTTAAACTCTGTGAGTTAAACACACACATCACTACGCAGTGTCTGGGAACGAGTTTGTCTTGTTTTTATACGAAGATATTTCCTTTTCTACCATTGGCATCGAAGCGCTTGAAATCTCCACTTGCAAATTCCACAAAAAGAGTGTTTCAAATCTGCTCTGTCTAAAGGAAGGTTGAACTCTGTGAGTTGCATACACACAACCCAAAGAAGTTACTGAGAAATCTTCTGTCTAGCATAATATGAAGAAATCCCGTTTCCAACGAAGGCCTCAAAGAGGTCCGAATATCCACTGGCAGGCTTCACAAACAGAGTGTTTCCTAACTGCTCTGTGAAAAGAAAGGTTAAACTCTGTGAGTTGAACGCACACATCACAAAGGAGTTTCTGAGAATCATTCTGTCTAGTTTTTATACGAAGATATTTCCTTTTCTACCATTGACCTCAAAGCGGCTGAAATCTCCACTTGCAAATTCCAGAAAAACAGTGTTTCAAATCTGCTCTGTGTAAAGGATCGTTTAACTCTGTGAGTTGAATACACACAACACAAGGAAGTTACTGAGAATTCATCTGTCTAGCATAATATGAAGAAATCCCGTTTCCAACGAAGGCCTCAAAGAGGTCTGAATATCCACTTGCAGACTTTACAAACAGAGTGTTTCCTAACTGCTCTTTGAAAAGAAAGGTTAAACTCTGTGAGTTGAACGCACACATCACAAAACAGTTTCTGAGAATCATTCTGTCTAGTTTTTATACGAAGATATTTCCTTTTCTACCGTTGACCTCAAAGCGGCTGAATTCTCCACTTACAAATTCCACCAAAAGAGTGTCTCAAATCTGCTCTGTGTAAAGAATCATTCAACTCTGTGAGTTGAATGCACACAACACAAGGAAGTTACTGGGAATTCCTCTGTCTAACCTTACATGAAAAAACCCGTTTCCAACGAAGGCCTCTAAGAGGCCAAGATATCCACTTGCAGACTTTACAAACAGAGTGTTTCCAAACTGCTGAATGAAAAGAAAAGTTAAACTCTGTGAGTTGAACGCACACATCACAGAGCAGTTTCTGAGAATGATTCTGTCGGGTTTTTATACGAAGATATTTCCTTTTCTGCCTTTGGCCTCAAAGCGCTTGAAGTCTCCACTTGCAAATTGCAGAAAAAGAGTGTTTCGAATCTGCTCTGTCTAAAGGAAGGTTCAACTCTGTCAGTTGAATACACACAACACAAGGAAGTTACTGAGATTTCTTCTGTCTAGCCTTACATGAAAAAAACCCGTTTCCAACGAAGGCCTCAAAGAGGTCAAAATATCCACGTGCAGACTTTCCAAACAGAGTGTTTCCAAACTGCTGAATGAAAAGAAAAGTTAAACTCTGTGAGTTGAACGCACACATCCCAG
The DNA here is from genome assembly GCF_000001405.40 of Homo sapiens. NCBI lineage: Eukaryota > Metazoa > Chordata > Mammalia > Primates > Hominidae > Homo > Homo sapiens. The sequence goes on along the minus strand of NC_000016.10, from coordinate 37,429,867 downwards.
AGCAGTTTCTGAGAAAGATTCTGTCGAGGTTTTATAGGAAAATATTTCCTTTTCTGCTTTTGGCCTCAAAGCGCTTGAAATCTCCACTTGCAAATTCCACAAAAAGAGACTTTCAAATCTGCTCTGTCTAAAGGAAGGTTCAACTCTGTCAGTTGAATACACACAACACAAAGAAGTTACTAAGAATTCTTCCCTCTAGCATTATATGAAGAAATCCCGTTCCCAACGAAGGCATCTAAGAGGTCCAAATATCCACTTGCAGACTTTACAAACAGAGGGTTTCCAGAATGCTGTATGAAAAGAAAGGTTAAACTCTGTGAGTTAAACACACACATCACTACGCAGTGTCTGGGAACGAGTTTGTCTTGTTTTTATACGAAGATATTTCCTTTTCTACCATTGGCATCGAAGCGCTTGAAATCTCCACTTGCAAATTCCACAAAAAGAGTGTTTCAAATCTGCTCTGTCTAAAGGAAGGTTGAACTCTGTGAGTTGCATACACACAACACAAAGAAGTTACTGAGAAATCTTCTGTCTAGCATAATATGAAGAAATCCCGTTTCCAACGAAGGCCTCAAAGAGGTCCGAATATCCACTGGCAGGCTTCACAAACAGAGTGTTTCCTAACTGCTCTGTGAAAAGAAAGGTTAAACTCTGTGAGTTGAACGCACACATCACAAAGGAGTTTCTGAGAATCATTCTGTCTAGTTTTTATACGAAGATATTTCTTTTTCTACCATTGACCTCAAAGCGGCTGAAATCTCCACTTGCAAATTCCAGAAAAACAGTGTTTCAAATCTGCTCTGTGTAAAGGATCGTTCAACTCTGTGAGTTGAATACACACAACACAAGGAAGTTACTGAGAATTCATCTGTCTAGCATAATATGAAGAAATCCCGTTTCCAACGAAGGCCTCAAAGAGGTCTGAATATCCACTTGCAGACTTTACAAACAGAGTGTTTCCTAACTGCTCTTTGAAAAGAAAGGTTAAACTCTGTGAGTTGAACGCACACATCACAAAACAGTTTCTGAGAATCATTCTTTCTAGTTTTTATACGAAGATATTTCCTTTTCTACCGTTGACCTCAAAGCGGCTGAATTCTCCACTTTCAAATTCCACCAAAAGAGTGTCTCAAATCTGCTCTGTGTAAAGAATCATTCAACTCTGTGAGTTGAATGCATACAACACAAGGAAGTTACTGGGAATTCCTCTGTCTATCCTTACATGAAAAAACCCGCTTCCAACGAAGGCCTCTAAGAGGCCAAGATATCCACTTGCAGACTTTACAAACAGAGTGTTTCCAAACTGCTGAATGAAAAGAAAAGTTAAACTCTGTGAGTTGAACGCACACATCACAGAGCAGTTTCTGAGAATGATTCTGTCGGGTTTTTATACGAAGATATTTCCTTTTCTGCCTTTGGCCTCAAAGCGCTTGAAGTCTCCACTTGCAAATTGCAGAAAAAGAGTGTTTCGAATCTGCTCTGTCTAAAGGAAGGTTCAACTCTGTCAGTTGAATACACACAACACAAGGAAGTTACTGAGATTTCTTCTGTCTAGCCTTACATGAAAAAAACCCGTTTCCAACGAAGGCCTCAAAGAGGTCAAAATATCCACGTGCAGACTTTCCAAACAGAGTGTTTCCAAACTGCTGAATGAAAAGAAAAGTTAAACTCTGTGAGTTGAACGCACACATCCCAGAGCAGTTTCTGAGAAAGATTCTGTCGAGTTTTTATAGGAAAATATTTCCTTTTCTGCTTTTGGCCTCAAAGCGCTTGAAATCTCCACTTGCAAATTCCACAAAAAGAGACTTTCAAATCTGCTCTGTCTAAAGGAAGGTTCAACTCTGTCAGTTGAATACACACAACACAAAGAAGTTACTAAGAATTCTTCCCTCTAGCATTATATGAAGAAATCCCGTTTCCAACGAAGGCATCTAAGAGGTCCAAATATCCACTTGCAGACTTTACAAACAGAGGGTTTCCAGAATGCTGTATGAAAAGAAAGGTTAAACTCTGTGAGTTAAACACACACATCACTACGCAGTGTCTGGGAACGAGTTTGTCTTGTTTTTATACGAAGATATTTCCTTTTCTACCATTGGCATCGATGTGCTTGAAATTTCCACTTGCAAATTCCACAAAAAGAGTGTTTCAAATCTGCTCTGTCTAAAGGAAGGTTGAACTCTGTGAGTTGCATACACACAACACAAAGAAGTTACTGAGAAATCTTCTGTCTAGCAAAATATGAAGAAATCCCGTTTCCAACGAAGGCCTCAAAGAGGTCCGAATATCCACTGGCAGGCTTCACAAACAGAGTGTTTCCTAACTGCTCTGTGAAAAGAAAGGTTAAACTCTGTGAGTTGAACGCACACATCACAAAGGAGTTTCTGAGAATCATTCTGTCTAGTTTTTATACGAAGATATTTCCTTTTCTACCATTGACCCCAAAGCGGCTGAAATCTCCACTTGCAAATTCCAGAAAAAGAGTGTTTGAAATCTGCTCTGTGTAAAGGATCGTTCAACTGTGTGAGTTGAATACACACAACACAAGGAAGTTACTGAGAATTCTTCTGTCTAGCATAATATGAAGAAATCCCGTTTCCAACGAAGGCCTCAAAGAGGTCTGAATATCCACTGGCAGACTTTACAAACAGAGTGTTTCCTAACTGCTCTTTGAAAAGAAAGGTTAAACTCTGTGAGTTGAACGCACACATCACAAAACAGTTTCTGAGAATCATTCTGTCTAGTTTTTATACGAAGATATTTCCTTTTCTACCATTGACCTCAAAGCGGCTGAATTCTCCACTTACAAATTGCACCAAAAGAGTGTCTCAAATCTGCTCTGTGTAAAGAGTCATTCAACTCTGTGAGTTGAACGCACACAACACAAGGAAGTTACTGGGAATTCCTCTGTCTATCCTTACATGAAAAAACCCGTTTCCAACGAAGGCCTCTAAGAGGCCAAGAAATCCACTTGCAGACTTTACAAACAGAGTGTTTCCAAACTGCTGAATGAAAAGAAAAGTTAAACTCTGTGAGTTGAACGCACTCATCACAGAGCAGTTTCTGAGAAAGATTCTGTCTAGTTTTTATAGGAAAATATTTCCTTTTCTGCTTTTGGCCTCAAAGCGCTTGAAATCTCCACTTGCAAATTCCACAAAAAGAGTGTTTCAAATCTGCTCTGTCTAAAGGAAGGTTGAACTCTGTGAGTTGCATACACACAACACAAAGAAGTTACTGAGAAATCTTCTGTCTAGCATAATATGAAGAAATCCCGTTTCCAACGAAGGCCTCAAAGAGGTCCGAATATCCACTGGCAGGCTTCACAAACAGAGTGTTTCCTAACTGCTCTGTGAAAAGAAAGGTTAAACTCTGTGAGTTGAACGCACACATCACAAAGGAGTTTCTGAGAATCATTCTGTCTAGTTTTTTATACGAAGATATTTCCTTTTCTACCATTGACCTCAAAGCAGCTGAAATCTCCACTTGCAAATTCCAGAAAAACAGTGTTTCAAATCTGCTCTGTGTAAAGGATCGTTCAACTCTGTGAGTTGAATACACACAACACAAGGAAGTTACTGAGAATTCATCTGTCTAGCATAATATGAAGAAATCCCGTTTCCAACGAAGGCCTCAAAGAGGTCTGAATATCCACTTGCAGACTTTACAAACAGAGTGTTTCCTAACTGCTCTTTGAAAAGAAAGGTTAAACTCTGTGAGTTGAACGCACACATCACAAAACAGTTTCTGAGAATCATTCTGTCTAGTTTTTATACGAAGATATTTCCTTTTCTACCGTTGACCTCAAAGCGGCTGAATTCTCCACTTACAAATTCCACCAAAAGAGTGTCTCAAATCTGCTCTGTGTAAAGAATCATTCAACTCTGTGAGTTGAATGCACACAACACAAGGAAGTTACTGGGAATTCCTCTGTCTAACCTTACATGAAAAAACCCGTTTCCAACGAAGGCCTCTAAGAGGCCAAGATATCCACTTGCAGACTTTACAAACAGAGTGTTTACAAACTGCTGAATGAAAAGAAAAGTTAAACTCTGTGAGTTGAACGCACACATCACAGAGCAGTTTCTGAGAATGATTCTGTCGGGTTTTTATACGAAGATATTTCCTTTTCTGCCTTTGGCCTCAAAGCGCTTGAAGTCTCCACTTGCAAATTGCAGAAAAAGAGTGTTTCGAATCTGCTCTGTCTAAAGGAAGGTTCAACTCTGTCAGTTGAATACACACAACACAAGGAAGTTACTGAGATTTCTTCTGTCTAGCCTTACATGAAAAAAACCCGTTTCCAACGAAGGCCTCAAAGAGGTCAAAATATCCACGTGCAGACTTTCCAAACAGAGTGTTTCCAAACTGCTGAATGAAAAGAAAAGTTAAACTCTGTGAGTTGAACGCACACATCCCAGAGCAGTTTCTGAGAAAGATTCTGTCGAGGTTTTATAGGAAAATATTTCCTTTTCTGCTTTTGGCCTCAAAGCGCTTGAAATCTCCACTTGCAAATTCCACAAAAAGAGACTTTCAAATCTGCTCTGTCTAAAGGAAGGTTCAACTCTGTCAGTTGAATACACACAACACAAAGAAGTTACTAAGAATTCTTCCCTCTAGCATTATATGAAGAAATCCCGTTTGCAACGAAGGCATCTAAGAGGTCCAAATATCCACTTGCAGACTTTACAAACACAGGGTTTCCAGAATGCTGTATGAAAAGAAAGGTGAAACTCTGTGAGTTAAACACACACATCACTACGCAGTGTCTGGGAACGAGTTTGTCTTGTTTTTATACGAAGATATTTCCTTTTCTACCATTGGCATCGAAGCGCTTGAAATCTCCACTTGCAAATTCCACAAAAAGAGTGTTTCAAATCTGCTCTGTCTAAAGGAAGGTTGAACTCTGTGAGTTGCATACACACAACACAAAGAAGTTACTGAGAAATCTTCTGTCTAGCATAATATGAAGAAATCCCGTTTCCAACGAAGGCCTCAAAGAGGTCCGAATATCCACTGGCAGGCTTCACAAACAGAGTGTTTCCTAACTGCTCTGTGAAAAGAAAGGTTAAACTCTGTGAGTTGAACGCACACATCACGAAGGAGTTTCTGAGAATCATTCTGTCTAGTTTTTATACGAAGATATTTCTTTTTCTACCATTGACCTCAAAGCGGCTGAAATCTCCACTTGCAAATTCCAGAAAAACAGTGTTTCAAATCTGCTCTGTGTAAAGGATCGTTCAACTCTGTGAGTTGAATACACACAACACAAGGAAGTTACTGAGAATTCATCTGTCTAGCATAATATGAAGAAATCCCGTTTCCAACGAAGGCCTCAAAGAGGTCTGAATATCCACTTGCAGACTTTACAAACAGAGTGTTTCCTAACTGCTCTTTGAAAAGAAAGGTTAAACTCTGTGAGTTGAACGCACACATCACAAAACAGTTTCTGAGAATCATTCTGTCTAGTTTTTATACGAAGATATTTCCTTTTCTACCGTTGACCTCAAAGCGGCTGAATTCTCCACTATCAAATTCCACCAAAAGAGTGTCTCAAATCTGCTCTGTGTAAAGAATCATTCAACTCTGTGAGTTGAATGCACACAACACAAGGAAGTTACTGAGAATTCATCTGTCTAACCTTACATGAAAAAACCCGTTTCCAACGAAGGCCTCTAAGAGGCCAAGATATCCACTTGCAGACTTTACAAACAGAGTGTTTCCAAACTGCTGAATGAAAAGAAAAGTTAAACTCTGTGAGTTGAACGCACACATCACAGAGCAGTTTCTGAGAATGATTCTGTCGGGTTTTTATACGAAGATATTTCCTTTTCTGCCTTTGGCCTCAAAGCGCTTGAAGTCTCCACTTGCAAATTGCAGAAAAAGAGTGTTTCGAATCTGCTCTGTCTAAAGGAAGGTTCAACTCTGTCAGTTGAATACACACAACACAAGGAAGTTACTGAGATTTCTTCTGTCTAGCCTTACATGAAAAAAACCCGTTTCCAACGAAGGCCTCAAAGAGGTCAAAATATCCACGTGCAGACTTTCCAAACAGAGTGTTTCCAAACTGCTGAATGAAAAGAAAAGTTAAACTCTGTGAGTTGAACGCACACATCCCAGAGCAGTTTCTGAGAAAGATTCTGTCGAGTTTTTATAGGAAAATATTTCCTTTTCTGCTTTTGGCCTCAAAGCGCTTGAAATCTCCACTTGCAAATTCCACAAAAAGAGACTTTCAAATCTGCTCTGTCTAAAGGAAGGTTCAACTCTGTCAGTTGAATACACACAACACAAAGAAGTTACTAAGAATTCTTCCCTCTAGCATTATATGAAGAAATCCCGTTTCCAACGAAGGCATCTAAGAGGTCCAAATATCCACTTGCAGACTTTACAAACACAGGGTTTCCAGAATGCTGTATGAAAAGAAAGGTTAAACTCTGTGAGTTAAACACACACATCACTACGCAGTGTCTGGGAACGAGTTTGTCTTGTTTTTATACGAAGATATTTCCTTTTCTACCATTGGCATCGAAGCGCTTGAAACCTCCACTTGCAAATTCCACAAAAAGAGTGTTTCAAATCTGCTCTGTCTAAAGGAAGGTTGAACTCTGTGAGTTGCATACACACAACACAAAGAAGTTACTGAGAAATCTTCTGTCTAGCATAATATGAAGAAATCCCGTTTCCAACGAAGGCCTCAAAGAGGTCCGAATATCCACTGGCAGGCTTCACAAACAGAGTGTTTCCTAACTGCTCTGTGAAAAGAAAGGTTAAACTCTGTGAGTTGAACGCACACATCACAAAGGAGTTTCTGAGAATCATTCTGTCTAGTTTTTATACGAAGATATTTCCTTTTCTACCATTGACCTCAAAGCGGCTGAAATCTCCACTTGCAAATTCCAGAAAAACAGTGTTTCAAATCTGCTCTGTGTAAAGGATCGTTCAACTCTGTGAGTTGAATACACACAACACAAGGAAGTTACTGAGAATTCATCTGTCTAGCATAATATGAAGAAATCCCGTTTCCAACGAAGGCCTCAAAGAGGTCTGAATATCCACTTGCAGACTTTACAAACAGAGTGTTTCCTAACTGCTCTCTGAAAAGAAAGGTTAAACTCTGTGAGTTGAACGCACACATCAAAAAACAGTTTCTGAGAATCATTCTGTCTAGTTTTTATACGAAGATATTTCCTTTTCTACCGTTGACCTCAAAGCGGCTGAATTCTCCACTTACAAATTCCACCAAAAGAGTGTCTCAAATCTGCTCTGTGTAAAGAATCATTCAACTCTGTGAGTTGAATGCACACAACACAAGGAAGTTACTGGGAATTCCTCTGTCTAACCTTACATGAAAAAACCCGTTTCCAACGAAGGCCTCTAAGAGGCCAAGATATCCACTTGCAGACTTTACAAACAGAGTGTTTCCAAACTGCTGAATGAAAAGAAAAGTTAAACTCTGTGAGTTGAACTCACACATCACAGAGCAGTTTCTGAGAATGATTCTGTCGGGTTTTTATACGAAGAATATTTCCTTTTCTGCCTTTGGCCTCAAAGCGCTTGAAGTCTCCACTTGCAAATTGCAGAAAAAGAGTGTTTCGAATCTGCTCTGTCTAAAGGAAGGTTCAACTCTGTCAGTTGAATACACACAACACAAGGAAGTTACTGAGATTTCTTCTGTCTAGCCTTACATGAAAAAAACCCGTTTCCAACGAAGGCCTCAAAGAGGTCAAAATATCCACGTGCAGACTTTCCAAACAGAGTGTTTCCAAACTGCTGAATGAAAAGAAAAGTTAAACTCTGTGAGTTGAACGCACACATCCCAGAGCAGTTTCTGAGAAAGATTCTGTCGAGTTTTTATAGGAAAATATTTCCTTTTCTGCTTTTGGCCTCAAAGCGCTTGAAATCTCCACTTGCAAATTCCACAAAAAGAGACTTTCAAATCTGCTCTGTCTAAAGGAAGGTTCAACTCTGTCAGTTGAATACACACAACACAAAGAAGTTACTAAGAATTCTTCCCTCTAGCATTATACGAAGAAATCCCGTTTCCAACGAAGGCATCTAAGAGGTCCAAATATCCACTTGCAGACTTTACAAACAGAGGGTTTCCAGAATGCTGTATGAAAAGAAAGGTTAAACTCAGTGAGTTAAACACACACATCACTACGCAGTGTCTGGGAACGAGTTTGTCTTGTTTTTATACGAAGATATTTCCTTTTCTACCATTGGCATCGAAGCGCTTGAAATCTCCACTTGCAAATTCCACAAAAAGAGTGTTTCAAATCTGCTCTGTCTAAAGGAAGGTTGAACTCTGTGAGTTGCATACACACAACACAAAGAAGTTACTGAGAAGTCTTCTGTCTAGCATAATATGAAGAAATCCCGTTTCCAACGAAGGCCTCAAAGAGGTCCGATTATCCACTGGCAGGCTTCACAAACAGAGTGTTTCCTAACTGCTCTGTGAAAAGAAAGGTTAAACTCTGTGAGTTGAACGCACACATCACAAAGGAGTTTCTGAGAATCATTCTGTCTAGTTTTTATACGAAGATATTTCCTTTTCTACCATTGACCTCAAAGCGGCTGAAATCTCCACTTGCAAATTCCAGAAAAACAGTGTTTCAAATCTGCTCTGTGTAAAGGATCGTTCAACTCTGTGAGTTGAATACACACAACACAAGGAAGTTACTGAGAATTCATCTGTCTAGCATAATATGAAGAAATCCCGTTTCCAACGAAGGCCTCAAAGAGGTCTGAATATCCACTTGCAGACTTTACAAACAGAGTGTTTCCTAACTGCTCTGTGAAAAGAAAGGTTAAACTCTGTGAGTTGAACGCACACATCACAAAACAGTTTCTGAGAATCATTCTGTCTAGTTTTTATACGAAGATATTTCCTTTTCTACCGTTGACCTCAAAGCGGCTGAATTCTCCACTTACAAATTCCACCAAAAGAGTGTCTCAAATCTGCTCTGTGTAAAGAATCATTCAACTCTGTGAGTTGAATGCACACAACACAAGGAAGTTACTGGGAATTCCTCTGTCTATCCTTACATGAAAAAACCCGTTTCCAACGAAGGCCTCTAAGAGGCCAAGATATCCACTTGCAGACTTTACAAACAGAGTGTTTCCAAACTGCTGAATGAAAAGAAAAGTTAAACTGCTGTGAGTTGAACGCACACATCACAGAGCAGTTTCTGAGAAAGATTCTGTCGGGTTTTTATACGAAGATATTTCCTTTTCTGCCTTTGGCCTCAAAGCGCTTGAAGTCTCCACTTGCAAATTGCAGAAAAAGAGTGTTTCGAATCTGCTCTGTCTAAAGGAAGGTTCAACTCTGTCAGTTGAATACACACAACACAAGGAAGTTACTGAGATTTCTTCTGTCTAGCCTTACATGAAAAAAACCCGTTTCCAACGAAGGCCTCAAAGATGTCAAAATATCCACGTGCAGACTTTCCAAACAGAGTGTTTCCAAACTGCTGAATGAAAAGAAAAGTTAAACTCTGTGAGTTGAACGCACACATCCCAGAGCAGTTTCTGAGAAAGATTCTGTCTAGTTTTTATAGGAAAATATTTCCTTTTCTGCTTTTGGCCTCAAAGCGCTTGAAATCTCCACTTGCAAATTCCACAAAAAGAGACTTTCAAATCTGCTCTGTCTAAAGGAAGGTTCAACTCTGTCAGTTGAATACACACAACACAAAGAAGTTACTAAGAATTCTTCCCTCTAGCATTATATGAAGAAATCCCGTTTCCAACGAAGGCATCTAAGAGGTCCAAATATCCACTTGCAGACTTTACAAACACAGGGTTTCCAGAATGCTGTATGAAAAGAAAGGTTAAACTCTGTGAGTTAAACACACACATCACTACGCAGTGTCTGGGAACGAGTTTGTCTTGTTTTTATACGAAGATATTTCCTTTTCTACCATTGGCATCGAAGCGCTTGAAATCTCCACTTGCAAATTCCACAAAAAGAGTGTTTCAAATCTGCTCTGTCTAAAGGAAGGTTGAACTCTGTGAGTTGCATACACACAACACAAAGAAGTTACTGAGAAATCTTCTGTCTAGCATAATATGAAGAAATCCCGTTTCCAACGAAGGCCTCAAAGAGGTCCGAATATCCACTGGCAGGCTTCACAAACAGAGTGTTTCCTAACTGCTCTGTGAAAAGAAAGGTTAAACTCTGTGAGTTGAACGCACACATCACAAAGGAGTTTCTGAGAATCATTCTGTCTAGTTTTTATACGAAGATATTTCCTTTTCTACCATTGACCTCAAAGCGGCTGAAATCTCCACTTGCAAATTCCAGAAAAACAGTGTTTCAAATCTGCTCTGTGTAAAGGATCGTTTAACTCTGTGAGTTGAATACACACAACACAAGGAAGTTACTGAGAATTCATCTGTCTAGCATAATATGAAGAAATCCCGTTTCCAACGAAGGCCTCAAAGAGGTCTGAATATCCACTTGCAGACTTTACAAACAGAGTGTTTCCTAACTGCTCTTTGAAAAGAAAGGTTAAACTCTGTGAGTTGAACGCACACATCACAAAACAGTTTCTGAGAATCATTCTGTCTAGTTTTTATACGAAGATATTTCCTTTTCTACCGTTGACCTCAAAGCGGCTGAATTCTCCACTTACAAATTCCACCAAAAGAGTGTCTCAAATCTGCTCTGTGTAAAGAATCATTCAACTCTGTGAGTTGAATGCACACAACACAAGGAAGTTACTGGGAATTCCTCTGTCTAACCTTACATGAAAAAACCCGTTTCCAACGAAGGCCTCTAAGAGGCCAAGATATCCACTTGCAGACTTTACAAACAGAGTGTTTCCAAACTGCTGAATGAAAAGAAAAGTTAAACTCTGTGAGTTGAACGCACACATCACAGAGCAGTTTCTGAGAATGATTCTGTCGGGTTTTTATACGAAGATATTTCCTTTTCTGCCTTTGGCCTCAAAGCGCTTGAAGTCTCCACTTGCAAATTGCAGAAAAAGAGTGTTTCGAATCTGCTCTGTCTAAAGGAAGGTTCAACTCTGTCAGTTGAATACACACAACACAAGGAAGTTACTGAGATTTCTTCTGTCTAGCCTTACATGAAAAAAACCCGTTTCCAACGAAGGCCTCAAAGAGGTCAAAATATCCACGTGCAGACTTTCCAAACAGAGTGTTTCCAAACTGCTGAATGAAAAGAAAAGTTAAACTCTGTGAGTTGAACGCACACATCCCAGAGCAGTTTCTGAGAAAGATTCTGTCTAGTTTTTATAGGAAAATATTTCCTTTTCTGCTTTTGACCTCAAAGCGCTTGAAATCTCCACTTGCAAATTCCACAAAAAGAGACTTTCAAATCTGCTCTGTCTAAAGGAAGGTTCAACTCTGTCAGTTGAATACACACAACACAAAGAAGTTACTAAGAATTCTTCCCTCTAGCATTATATGAAGAAATCCCGTTTCCAACGAAGGCATCTAAGAGGTCCAAATATCCACTTGCAGACTTTACAAACAGAGGGTTTCCAGAATGCTGTATGAAAAGAAAGGTGAAACTCTGTGAGTTAAACACACACATCACTACGCAGTGTCTGGGAACGAGTTTGTCTTGTTTTTATACGAAGATATTTCCTTTTCTACCATTGGCATCGAAGCGCTTGAAATCTCCACTTGCAAATTCCACAAAAAGAGTGTTTCAAATCTGCTCTGTCTAAAGGAAGGTTGAACTCTGTGAGTTGCATACACACAACACAAAGAAGTTACTGAGAAATCTTCTGTCTAGCATAATATGAAGAAATCCCGTTTCCAACGAAGGCCTCAAAGAGGTCCGAATATCCACTGGCAGGCTTCACAAACAGAGTGTTTCCTAACTGCTCTGTGAAAAGAAAGGTTAAACTCTGTGAGTTGAACGCACACATCACAAAGGAGTTTCTGAGAATCATTCTGTCTAGTTTTTATACGAAGATATTTCCTTTTCTACCATTGACCTCAAAGCGGCTGAAATCTCCACTTGCAAATTCCAGAAAAACAGTGTTTCAAATCTGCTCTGTGTAAAGGATCGTTCAACTCTGTGAGTTGAATACACACAACACAAGGAAGTTACTGAGAATTCATCTGTCTAGCATAATATGAAGAAATCCCGTTTCCAACGAAGGCCTCAAAGAGGTCTGAATATCCACTTGCAGACTTTACAAACAGAGTGTTTCCTAACTGCTCTTTGAAAAGAAAGGTTAAACTCTGTGAGTTGAACGCACACATCACAAAACAGTTTCTGAGAATCATTCTGTCTAGTTTTTATACGAAGATATTTCCTTTTCTACCGTTGACCTCAAAGCGGCTGAATTCTCCACTTACAAATTCCACCAAAAGAGTGTCTCAAATCTGCTCTGTGTAAAGAATCATTCAACTCTGTGAGTTGAATGCACACAACACAAGGAAGTTACTGGGAATTCCTCTGTCTAACCTTACATGAAAAAACCCGTTTCCAACGAAGGCCTCTAAGAGGCCAAGATATCCACTTGCAGACTTTACAAACAGAGTGTTTCCAAACTGCTGAATGAAAAGAAAAGTTAAACTCTGTGAGTTGAACGCACACATCACAGAGCAGTTTCTGAGAATGATTCTGTCGGGTTTTTATACGAAGATATTTCCTTTTCTGCCTTTGGCCTCAAAGCGCTTGAAGTCTCCACTTGCAAATTGCAGAAAAAGAGTGTTTCGAATCTGCTCTGTCTAAAGGAAGGTTCAACTCTGTCAGTTGAATACACACAACACAAGGAAGTTACTGAGATTTCTTCTGTCTAGCGTTACATGAAAAAAACCCGTTTCCAACGAAGGCCTCAAAGAGGTCAAAATATCCACGTGCAGACTTTCCAAACAGAGTGTTTCCAAACTGCTGAATGAAAAGAAAGTTAAACTCTGTGAGTTGAACACACACATCACAGAGCAGTTTCTGAGAATGATTCTGTCTAGTTTTTATAGGAAAATATTTCCTTTTCTGCTTTTGGCCTCAAAGCGCTTGAAATCTCCACTTGCAAATTCCACAAAAAGAGACTTTCAAATCTGCTCTGTCTAAAGGAAGGTTCAACTCTGTCAGTTGAATACACACAACACAAAGAAGTTACTAAGAATTCTTCCCTCTAGCATTATATGAAGAAATCCCGTTTCCAACGAAGGCATCTAAGAGGTCCAAATATCCACTTGCAGACTTTACAAACAGAGGGTTTCCAGAATGCTGTATGAAAAGAAAGGTTAAACTCTGTGAGTTAAACACACACATCACTACGCAGTGTCTGGGAACGAGTTTGTCTTGTTTTTATACGAAGATATTTCCTTTTCTACCATTGGCATCGAAGCGCTTGAAATCTCCACTTGCAAATTCCACAAAAAGAGTGTTTCAAATCTGCTCTGTCTAAAGGAAGGTTGAACTCTGTGAGTTGCATACACACAACACAAAGAAGTTACTGAGAAATCTTCTGAATAGCATAATATGAAGAAATCCCGTTTCCAACGAAGGCCTCAAAGAGGTCCGAATATCCACTGGCAGGCTTCACAAACAGAGTGTTTCCTAACTGCTCTGTGAAAAGAAAGGTTAAACTCTGTGAGTTGAACGCACACATCACAAAGGAGTTTCTGAGAATCATTCTGTCTAGTTTTTATACGAAGATATTTCCTTTTCTACCATTGACCTCAAAGCGGCTGAAATCTCCACTTGCAAATTCCAGAAAAACAGTGTTTCAAATCTGCTCTGTGTAAAGGATCGTTCAACTCTGTGAGTTGAATACACACAACACAAGGAAGTTACTGAGAATTCATCTGTCTAGCATAATATGAAGAAACCCCGTTTCCAACGAAGGCCTCAAAGAGGTCTGAATATCCACTTGCAGACTTTACAAACAGAGTGTTTCCTAACTGCTCTTTGAAAAGAAAGGTTAAACTCTGTGAGTTGAACGCACACATCACAAAACAGTTTCTGAGAATCATTCTGTCTAGTTTTTATACGAAGATATTTCCTTTTCTACCGTTGACCTCAAAGCGGATGAATTCTCCACTTACAAATTCCACCAAAAGAGTGTCTCAAATCTGCTCTGTGTAAAGAATCATTCAACTCTGTGAGTTGAATGCACACAACACAAGGAAGTTACTGGGAATTCCTCTGTCTAACCTTACATGAAAAAACCCGTTTCCAACGAAGGCCTCTAAGAGGCCAAGATATCCACTTGCAGACTTTACAAACAGAGTGTTTCCAAACTGCTGAATGAAAAGAAAAGTTAAACTCTGTGAGTTGAACGCACACATCACAGAGCAGTTTCTGAGAATGATTCTGTCGGGTTTTTATACGAAGATATTTCCTTTTCTGCCTTTGGCCTCAAAGCGCTTGAAGTCTCCACTTGCAAATTGCAGAAAAAGAGTGTTTCGAATCTGCTCTGTCTAAAGGAAGGTTCAACTCTGTCAGTTGAATACACACAACACAAGGAAGTTACTGAGATTTCTTCTGTCTAGCCTTACATGAAAAAAACCCGTTTCCAACGAAGGCCTCAAAGAGGTCAAAATATCCACGTGCAGACTTTCCAAACAGAGTGTTTCCAAACTGCTGAATGAAAAGAAAAGTTAAACTCTGTGAGTTGAACGCACACATCCCAGAGCAGTTTCTGAGAAAGATTCTGTCTAGTTTTTATAGGAAAATATTTCCTTTTCTGCTTTTGGCCTCAAAGCGCTTGAAATCTCCACTTGCAAATTCCACAAAAAGAGACTTTCAAATCTGCTCTGTCTAAAGGAAGGTTCAACTCTGTCAGTTGAATACACACAACACAAAGAAGTTACTAAGAATTCTTCCCTCTAGCATTATATGAAGAAATCCCGTTTCCAACGAAGGCATCTAAGAGGTCCAAATATCCACTTGCAGACTTTACAAACACAGGGTTTCCAGAATGCTGTATGAAAAGAAAGGTTAAACTCTGTGAGTTAAACACACACATCACTACGCAGTGTCTGGGAACGAGTTTGTCTTGTTTTTATACGAAGATATTTCCTTTTCTACCATTGGCATCGAAGCGCTTGAAATCTCCACTTGCAAATTCCACAAAAAGAGTGTTTCAAATCTGCTCTGTCTAAAGGAAGGTTGAACTCTGTGAGTTGCATACACACAACACAAAGAAGTTACTGAGAAATCTTCTGTCTAGCATAATATGAAGAAATCCCGTTTCCAACGAAGGCCTCAAAGAGGTCCGAATATCCACTGGCAGGCTTCACAAACAGAGTGTTTCCTAACTGCTCTGTGAAAAGAAAGGTTAAACTCTGTGAGTTGAACGCACACATCACAAAGGAGTTTCTGAGAATCATTCTGTCTAGTTTTTATACGAAGATATTTCCTTTTCTACCATTGACCTCAAAGCGGCTGAAATCTCCACTTGCAAATTCCAGAAAAACAGTGTTTCAAATCTGCTCTGTGTAAAGGATCGTTCAACTCTGTGAGTTGAATACACACAACACAAGGAAGTTACTGAGAATTCATCTGTCTAGCATAATATGAAGAAATCCCGTTTCCAACGAAGGCCTCAAAGAGGTCTGAATATCCACTTGCAGACTTTACAAACAGAGTGTTTCCTAACTGCTCTTTGAAAAGAAAGGTTAAACTCTGTGAGTTGAACGCACACATCACAAAACAGTTTCTGAGAATCATTCTGTCTAGTTTTTATACGAAGATATTTCCTTTTCTACCGTTGACCTCAAAGCGGCTGAATTCTCCACTTACAAATTCCACCAAAAGAGTGTCTCAAATCTGCTCTGTGTAAAGAATCATTCAACTCTGTGAGTTGAATGCACACAACACAAGGAAGTTACTGGGAATTCCTCTGTCTAACCTTACATGAAAAAACCCGTTTCCAACGAAGGCCTCTAAGAGGCCAAGATATCCACTTGCAGACTTTACAAACAGAGTGTTTCCAAACTGCTGAATGAAAAGAAAAGTTAAACTCTGTGAGTTGAACGCACACATCACAGAGCAGTTTCTGAGAATGATTCTGTCGGGTTTTTATACGAAGATATTTCCTTTTCTGCCTTTGGCCTCAAAGCGCTTGAAGTCTCCACTTGCAAATTGCAGAAAAAGAGTGTTTCGAATCTGCTCTGTCTAAAGGAAGGTTCAACTCTGTCAGTTGAATACACACAACACAAGGAAGTTACTGAGATTTCTTCTGTCTAGCTTACATGAAAAAAACCCGTTTCCAACGAAGGCCTCAAAGAGGTCAAAATATCCACGTGCAGACTTTCCAAACAGAGTGTTTCCAAACTGCTGAATGAAAAGAAAAGTTAAACTCTGTGAGTTGAACGCACACATCCCAGAGCAGTTTCTGAGAAAGATTCTGTCGAGTTTTTATAGGAAAATATTTCCTTTTCTGCTTTTGGCCTCAAAGCGCTTGAAATCTCCACTTGCAAATTCCACAAAAAGAGACTTTCAAATCTGCTCTGTCTAAAGGAAGGTTCAACTCTGTCAGTTGAATACACACAACACAAAGAAGTTACTAAGAATTCTTCCCTCTAGCATTATATGAAGAAATCCCGTTTCCAACGAAGGCATCTAAGAGGTCCAAATATCCACTTGCAGACTTTACAAACAGAGGGTTTCCAGAATGCTGTATGAAAAGAAAGGTTAAACTCTGTGAGTTAAACACACACATCACTACGCAGTGTCTGGGAACGAGTTTGTCTTGTTTTTATACGAAGATATTTCCTTTTCTACCATTGGCATCGAAGCGCTTGAAATCTCCACTTGCAAATTCCACAAAAAGAGTGTTTCAAATCTGCTCTGTCTAAAGGAAGGTTGAACTCTGTGAGTTGCATATACACAACACAAAGAAGTTACTGAGAAATCTTTTGTCTAGCACAATATGAAGAAATCCCGTTTCCAACGAAGGCCTGAAAGAGGTCCGAATATCCACTGGCAGGCTTCACAAACAGAGTGTTTCCTAACTGCTCTGTGAAAAGAAAGGTTAAACTCTGTGAGTTGAACGCACACATCACAAAGGAGTTTCTGAGAATCATTCTGTCTAGTTTTTATACGAAGATATTTCCTTTTCTACCATTGACCTCAAAGCGGCTGAAATCTCCACTTGCAAATTCCAGAAAAACAGTGTTTCAAATCTGCTCTGTGTAAAGGATCGTTCAACTCTGTGAGTTGAATACACACAACACAAGGAAGTTACTGAGAATTCATCTGTCTAGCATAATATGAAGAAATCCCGTTTCCAACGAAGGCCTCAAAGAGGTCTGAATATCCACTTGCAGACTTTACAAACAGAGTGTTTCCTAACTGCTCTTTGAAAAGAAAGGTTAAACTCTGTGAGTTGAACGCACACATCACAAAACAGTTTCTGAGAATCATTCTGTCTAGTTTTTATACGAAGATATTTCCTTTTCTACCGTTGACCTCAAAGCGGCTGAATTCTCCACTTACAAATTCCACCAAAAGAGTGTCTCAAATCTGCTCTGTGTAAAGAATCATTCAACTCTGTGAGTTGAATGCACACAACACAAGGAAGTTACTGGGAATTCCTCTGTCTATCCTTACATGAAAAAACCCGTTTCCAACGAAGGCCTCTAAGAGGCCAAGATATCCACTTGCAGACTTTACAAACAGAGTGTTTCCAAACTGCTGAATGAAAAGAAAAGTTAAACTCTGTGAGTTGAACGCACACATCACAGAGCAGTTTCTGAGAATGATTCTGTCGGGTTTTTATACGAAGATATTTCCTTTTCTGCCTTTGGCCTCAAAGCGCTTGAAGTCTCCACTTGCAAATTGCAGAAAAAGAGTGTTTCGAATCTGCTCTGTCTAAAGGAAGGTTCAACTCTGTCAGTTGAATACACACAACACAAGGAAGTTACTGAGATTTCTTCTGTCTAGCGTTACATGAAAAAAACCCGTTTCCAACGAAGGCCTCAAAGAGGTCAAAATATCCACGTGCAGACTTTCCAAACAGAGTGTTTCCAAACTGCTGAATGAAAAGAAAAGTTAAACTCTGTGAGTTGAACGCACACATCCCAGAGCAGTTTCTGAGAAAGATTCTGTCTAGTTTTTATAGGAAAATATTTCCTTTTCTGCTTTTGGCCTCAAAGCGCTTGAAATCTCCACTTGCAAATTCCACAAAAAGAGACTTTCAAATCTGCTCTGTCTAAAGGAAGGTTCAACTCTGTCAGTTGAATACACACAACACAAAGAAGTTACTAAGAATTCTTCCCTCTAGCATTATATGAAGAAATCCCGTTTCCAACGAAGGCATCTAAGAGGTCCAAATATCCACTTGCAGACTTTACAAACAGAGGGTTTCCAGAATGCTGTATGAAAAGAAAGGTGAAACTCTGTGAGTTAAACACACACATCACTATGCAGTGTCTGGGAACGAGTTTGTCTTGTTTTTATACGAAGATATTTCCTTTTCTACCATTGGCATCGAAGCGCTTGAAATCTCCACTTGCAAATTCCACAAAAAGAGTGTTTCAAATCTGCTCTGTCTAAAGGAAGGTTGAACTCTGTGAGTTGCATACACACAACACAAAGAAGTTACTGAGAAATCTTCTGTCTAGCAAAATATGAAGAAATCCCGTTTCCAACGAAGGCCTCAAAGAGGTCCGATTATCCACTGGCAGGCTTCACAAACAGAGTGTTTCCTAACTGCTCTGTGAAAAGAAAGGTTAAACTCTGTGAGTTGAACGCACACATCACAAAGGAGTTTCTGAGAATCATTCTGTCTAGTTTTTATACGAAGATATTTGCTTTTCTACCATTGACCTCAAAGCGGCTGAAATCTCCACTTGCAAATTCCAGAAAAACAGTGTTTCAAATCTGCTCTGTGTAAAGGATCGTTCAACTCTGTGAGTTGAATACACACAACACAAGGAAGTTACTGAGAATTCATCTGTCTAGCATAATATGAAGAAATCCCGTTTCCAACGAAGGCCTCAAAGAGGTCTGAATATCCACTTGCAGACTTTACAAACAGAGTGTTTCCTAACTGCTCTTTGAAAAGAAAGGTTAAACTCTGTGAGTTGAACGCACACATCAAAAAACAGTTTCTGAGAATCATTCTGTCTAGTTTTTATACGAAGATATTTCCTTTTCTACCGTTGACCTCAAAGCGGCTGAATTCTCCACTTACAAATTCCACCCAAAGAGTGTCTCAAATCTGCTCTGTGTAAAGAATCATTCAACTCTGTGAGTTGAATGCACACAACACAAGGAAGTTACTGGGAATTCCTCTGTCTAACCTTACATGAAAAAACCCGTTTCCAACGAAGGCCTCTAAGAGGCCAAGATATCCACTTGCAGACTTTACAAACAGAGTGTTTCCAAACTGCTGAATGAAAAGAAAAGTTAAACTCTGTGAGTTGAACGCACACATCACAGAGCAGTTTCTGAGAATGATTCTGTCGGGTTTTTATACGAAGATATTTCCTTTTCTGCCTTTGGCCTCAAAGCGCTTGAAGTCTCCACTTGCAAATTGCAGAAAAAGAGTGTTTCGAATCTGCTCTGTCTAAAGGAAGGTTCAACTCTGTCAGTTGAATACACACAACACAAGGAAGTTACTGAGATTTCTTCTGTCTAGCCTTACATGAAAAAAACCCGTTTCCAACGAAGGCCTCAAAGAGGTCAAAATATCCACGTGCAGACTTTCCAAACAGAGTGTTTCCAAACTGCTGAATGAAAAGAAAAGTTAAACTCTGTGAGTTGAACGCACACATCCCAGAGCAGTTTCTGAGAAAGATTCTGTCGAGTTTTTATAGGAAAATATTTCCTTTTCTGCTTTTGGCCTCAAAGCGCTTGAAATCTCCACTTGCAAATTCCACAAAAAGAGACTTTCAAATCTGCTCTGTCTAAAGGAAGGTTCAACTCTGTCAGTTGAATACACACAACACAAAGAAGTTACTAAGAATTCTTCCCTCTAGCATTATATGAAGAAATCCCGTTTGCAACGAAGGCATCCAAGAGGTCCAAATATCCACTTGCAGACTTTACAAACAGAGGGTTTCCAGAATGCTGTATGAAAAGAAAGGTGAAACTCTGTGAGTTAAACACACACATCACTACGCAGTGTCTGGGAACGAGTTTGTCTTGTTTTTATACGAAGATATTTCCTTTTCTACCATTGGCATCGAAGCGCTTGAAATCTCCACTTGCAAATTCCACAAAAAGAGTGTTTCAAATCTGCTCTGTCTAAAGGAAGGTTGAACTCTGTGAGTTGCATACACACAACACAAAGAAGTTACTGAGAAATCTTCTGTCTAGCATAATATGAAGAAATCCCGTTTCCAACGAAGGCCTCAAAGAGGTCCGAATATCCACTGGCAGGCTTCACAAACAGAGTGTTTCCTAACTGCTCTGTGAAAAGAAAGGTTAAACCCTGTGAGTTGAACGCACACATCACAAAGGAGTTTCTGAGAATCATTCTGTCTAGTTTTTATACGAAGATATTTCCTTTTCTACCATTGACCTCAAAGCGGCTGAAATCTCCACTTGCAAATTCCAGAAAAACAGTGTTTCAAATCTGCTCTGTGTAAAGGATCGTTCAACTCTGTGAGTTGAATACACACAACACAAGGAAGTTACTGAGAATTCATCTGTCTAGCATAATATGAAGAAATCCCGTTTCCAACGAAGGCCTCAAAGAGGTCTGAATATCCACTTGCAGACTTTACAAACAGAATGTTTCCTAACTGCTCTTTGAAAAGAAAGGTTAAACTCTGTGAGTTGAACGCACACATCACAAAACAGTTTCTGAGAATCATTCTGTCTAGTTTTTATACGAAGATATTTCCTTTTCTACCGTTGACCTCAAAGCGGCTGAATTCTCCACTTACAAATTCCACCAAAAGAGTGTCTCAAATCTGCTCTGTGTAAAGAATCATTCAACTCTGTGAGTTGAA
Source organism: Homo sapiens (assembly GCF_000001405.40). NCBI lineage: Eukaryota > Metazoa > Chordata > Mammalia > Primates > Hominidae > Homo > Homo sapiens. The sequence continues at coordinate 37,408,981 of NC_000016.10, read as the reverse complement.
TGCACACAACACAAGGAAGTTACTGGGAATTCCTCTGTCTAACCTTACATGAAAAAACCCGTTTCCAACGAAGGCCTCTAAGAGGCCAAGATATCCACTTGCAGACTTTACAAACAGAGTGTTTCCAAACTGCTGAATGAAAAGAAAAGTTAAACTCTGTGAGTTGAACGCACACATCACAGAGCAGTTTCTGAGAATGATTCTGTCGGGTTTTTATACGAAGATATTTCCTTTTCTGCCTTTGGCCTCAAAGCGCTTGAAGTCTCCACTTGCAAATTGCAGAAAAAGAGTGTTTCGAATCTGCTCTGTCTAAAAGAAGGTTCAACTCTGTCAGTTGAATACACACAACACAAGGAAGTTACTGAGATTTTCTCTGTCTAGCGTTACATGAAAAAAACCCGTTTCCAACGAAGGCCTCAAAGAGGTCAAAATATCCACGTGCAGACTTTCCAAACAGAGTGTTTCCAAACTGCTGAATGAAAAGAAAAGTTAAACTCTGTGAGTTGAACGCACACATCCCAGAGCAGTTTCTGAGAAAGATTCTGTCGAGTTTTTATAGGAAAATATTTCCTTTTCTGCTTTTGGCCTCAAAGCGCTTGAAATCTCCACTTGCAAATTCCACAAAAAGAGACTTTCAAATCTGCTCTGTCTAAAGGAAGGTTCAACTCTGTCAGTTGAATACACACAACACAAAGAAGTTACTAAGAATTCTTCCCTCTAGCATTATATGAAGAAATCCCGTTTCCAACGAAGGCATCTAAGAGGTCCAAATATCCACTTGCAGACTTTACAAACAGAGGGTTTCCAGAATGCTGTATGAAAAGAAAGGTTAAACTCTGTGAGTTAAACACACACATCACTACGCAGTGTCTGGGAACGAGTTTGTCTTGTTTTTATACGAAGATATTTCCTTTTCTACCATTGGCATCGAAGCGCTTGAAATCTCCACTTGCAAATTCCACAAAAAGAGTGTTTCAAATCTGCTCTGTCTAAAGGAAGGTTGAACTCTGTGAGTTGCATACACACAACACAAAGAAGTTACTGAGAAATCTTCTGTCTAGCATAATATGAAGAAATCCCGTTTCCAACGAAGGCCTCAAAGAGGTCCGAATATCCACTGGCAGGCTTCACAAACAGAGTGTTTCCTAACTGCTCTGTGAAAAGAAAGGTTAAACTCTGTGAGTTGAACGCACACATCACAAAGGAGTTTCTGAGAATCATTCTGTCTAGTTTTTATACGAAGATATTTCCTTTTCTACCATTGACCTCAAAGCGGCTGAAATCTCCACTTGCAAATTCCAGAAAAACAGTGTTTCAAATCTGCTCTGTGTAAAGGATCGTTCAACTCTGTGAGTTGAATACACACAACACAAGGAAGTTACTGAGAATTCATCTGTCTAGCATAATATGAAGAAATCCCGTTTCCAACGAAGGCCTCAAAGAGGTCTGAATATCCACTTGCAGACTTTACAAACAGAGTGTTTCCTAACTGCTCTTTGAAAAGAAAGGTTAAACTCTGTGAGTTGAACGCACACATCACAAAACAGTTTCTGAGAATCATTCTGTCTAGTTTTTATACGAAGATATTTCCTTTTCTACCGTTGACCTCAAAGCGGCTGAATTCTCCACTTACAAATTCCACCAAAAGAGTGTCTCAAATCTGCTCTGTGTAAAGAATCATTCAACTCTGTGAGTTGAATGCACACAACACAAGGAAGTTACTGGGAATTCCTCTGTCTATCCTTACATGAAAAAACCCGTTTCCAACGAAGGCCTCTAAGAGGCCAAGATATCCACTTGCAGACTTTACAAACAGAGTGTTTCCAAACTGCTGAATGAAAAGAAAAGTTAAACTCTGTGAGTTGAACGCACACATCACAGAGCAGTTTCTGAGAATGATTCTGTCGGGTTTTTATACGAAGATATTTCCTTTTCTGCCTTTGGCCTCAAAGCGCTTGAAGTCTCCACTTGCAAATTGCAGAAAAAGAGTGTTTCGAATCTGCTCTGTCTAAAGGAAGGTTCAACTCTGTCAGTTGAATACACACAACACAAGGAAGTTACTGAGATTTCTTCTGTCTAGCCTTACATGAAAAAAACCCGTTTCCAACGAAGGCCTCAAAGAGGTCAAAATATCCACGTGCAGACTTTCCAAACAGAGTGTTTCCAAACTGCTGAATGAAAAGAAAAGTTAAACTCTGTGAGTTGAACGCACACATCCCAGAGCAGTTTCTGAGAAAGATTCTGTCGAGTTTTTATAGGAAAATATTTCCTTTTCTGCTTTTGGCCTCAAAGCGCTTGAAATCTCCACTTGCAAATTCCACAAAAAGAGACTTTCAAATCTGCTCTGTCTAAAGGAAGGTTCAACTCTGTCAGTTGAATACACACAACACAAAGGAAGTTACTAAGAATTCTTCCCTCTAGCATTATATGAAGAAATCCCGTTTCCAACGAAGGCATCTAAGAGGTCCAAATATCTACTTGCAGACTTTACAAACAGAGGGTTTCCAGAATGCTGTATGAAAAGAAAGGTTAAACTCTGTGAGTTAAACACACACATCACTACGCAGTGTCTGGGAACGAGTTTGTGTTGTTTTTATACGAAGATATTTCCTTTTCTACCATTGGCATCGAAGCGCTTGAAATCTCCACTTGCAAATTCCACAAAAAGAGTGTTTCAAATCTGCTCTGTCTAAAGGAAGGTTGAACTCTGTGAGTTGCATACACACAACACAAAGAAGTTACTGAGAAATCTTCTGTCTAGCATAATATGAAGAAATCCCGTTTCCAACGAAGGCCTGAAAGAGGTCCGAATATCCACTGGCAGGCTTCACAAACAGAGTGTTTCCTAACTGCTCTGTGAAAAGAAAGGTTAAACTCTGTGAGTTGAACGCACACATCACAAAGGAGTTTCTGAGAATCATTCTGTCTAGTTTTTATACGAAGATATTTCCTTTTCTACAATTGACCTCAAAGCGGCTGAAATCTCCACTTGCAAATTCCAGAAAAACAGTGTTTCAAATCTGCTCTGTGTAAAGGATCGTTCAACTCTGTGAGTTGAATACACACAACACAAGGAAGTTACTGAGAATTCATCTGTCTAGCATAATATGAAGAAATCCCGTTTCCAACGAAGGCCTCAAAGAGGTCTGAATATCCACTTGCAGACTTTACAGAGTGTTTCCTAACTGCTCTCTGAAAAGAAAGGTTAAACTCTGTGAGTTGAACGCACACATCACAAAACAGTTTCTGAGAATCATTCTGTCTAGTTTTTATACGAAGATATTTCCTTTTCTACCGTTGACCTCAAAGCGGCTGAATTCTCCACTTACAAATTCCACCAAAAGAGTGTCTCAAATCTGCTCTGTGTAAAGAATCATTCAACTCTGTGAGTTGAATGCACACAACACAAGGAAGTTACTGGGAATTCCTCTGTCTATCCTTACATGAAAAAACCCGTTTCCAACGAAGGCCTCTAAGAGGCCAAGATATCCACTTGCAGACTTTACAAACAGAGTGTTTCCAAACTGCTGAATGAAAAGAAAAGTTAAACTCTGTGAGTTGAACGCACACATCACAGAGCAGTTTCTGAGAATGATTCTGTCGGGTTTTTATACGAAGATATTTCCTTTTCTGCCTTTGGCCTCAAAGCGCTTGAAATCTCCACTTGCAAATTGCAGAAAAAGAGTGTTTCGAATCTGCTCTGTCTAAAGGAAGGTTCAACTCTGTCAGTTGAATACACACAACACAAGGAAGTTACTGAGATTTCTTCTGTCTAGCCTTACATGAAAAAAACCCGTTTCCAACGAAGGCCTCAAAGAGGTCAAAATATCCACGTGCAGACTTTCCAAACAGAGTGTTTCCAAACTGCTGAATGAAAAGAAAAGTTAAACTCTGTGAGTTGAACGCACACATCCCAGAGCAGTTTCTGAGAAAGATTCTGTCTAGTTTTTATAGGAAAATATTTCCTTTTCTGCTTTTGGCCTCAAAGCGCTTGAAATCTCCACTTGCAAATTCCACAAAAAGAGACTTTCAAATCTGCTCTGTCTAAAGGAAGGTTCAACTCTGTCAGTTGAATACACACAACACAAAGAAGTTACTAAGAATTCTTCCCTCTAGCATTATATGAAGAAATCCCGTTTCCAACGAAGGCATCTAAGAGGTCCAAATATCCACTTGCAGACTTTACAAACAGAGGGTTTCCAGAATGCTGTATGAAAAGAAAGGTGAAACTCTGTGAGTTAAACACACACATCACTACGCAGTGTCTGAGAACGAGTTTGTCTTGTTTTTATACGAAGATATTTCCTTTTCTACCATTGGCATCGAAGCGCTTGAAATCTCCACTTGGAAATTCCACAAAAAGAGTGTTTCAAATCTGCTCTGTCTAAAGGAAGGTTGAACTCTGTGAGTTGCATACACACAACACAAAGAAGTTACTGAGAAATCTTCTGTCTAGCATAATATGAAGAAATCCCGTTTCCAACGAAGGCCTCAAAGAGGTCCGAATATCCACTGGCAGGCTTCACAAACAGAGTGTTTCCTAACTGCTCTGTGAAAAGAAAGGTTAAACTCTGTGAGTTGAACGCACACATCACAAAGGAGTTTCTGAGAATCATTCTGTCTAGTTTTTATACGAAGCATATTTCCTTTTCTACCATTGACCTCAAAGCGGCTGAAATCTCCACTTGCAAATTCCAGAAAAACAGTGTTTCAAATCTGCTCTGTGTAAAGGATCGTTCAACTCTGTGAGTTGAATACACACAACACAAGGAAAGTTACTGAGAATTCATCTGTCTAGCATAATATGAAGAAATCCCGTTTCCAACGAAGGCCTCAAAGAGGTCTGAATATCCACTTGCAGACTTTACAAACAGAGTGTTTCCTAACTGCTCTTTGAAAAGAAAGGTTAAACTCTGTGAGTTGAAAGCACACATCACAAAACAGTTTCTGAGAATCATTCTGTCTAGTTTTTATACGAAGATATTTCCTTTTCTACCGTTGACCTCAAAGCGGCTGAATTCTCCACTTACAAATTCCACCAAAAGAGTGTCTCAAATCTGCTCTGTGTAAAGAATCATTCAACTCTGTGAGTTGAATGCACACAACACAAGGGAAGTTACTGGGAATTCCTCTGTCTATCCTTACATGAAAAAACCCGCTTCCAACGAAGGCCTCTAAGAGGCCAAGATATCCACTTGCAGACTTTACAAACAGAGTGTTTCCAAACTGCTGAATGAAAAGAAAAGTTAAACTCTGTGAGTTGAACGCACACATCACAGAGCAGTTTCTGAGAATGATTCTGTCGGGTTTTTATACGAAGATATTTCCTTTTCTGCCTTTGGCCTCAAAGCGCTTGAAGTCTCCACTTGCAAATTGCAGAAAAAGAGTGTTTCGAATCTGCTCTGTCTAAAGGAAGGTTCAACTCTGTCAGTTGAATACACACAACACAAGGAAGTTACTGAGATTTCTTCTGTCTAGCCTTACATGAAAAAAACCCGTTTCCAACGAAGGCCTCAAAGAGGTCAAAATATCCACGTGCAGACTTTCCAAACAGAGTGTTTCCAAACTGCTGAATGAAAAGAAAAGTTAAACTCTGTGAGTTGAACGCACACATCCCAGAGCAGTTTCTGAGAAAGATTCTGTCGAGTTTTTATAGGAAAATATTTCCTTTTCTGCTTTTGGCCTCAAAGCGCTTGAAATCTCCACTTGCAAATTCCACAAAAAGAGACTTTCAAATCTGCTCTGTCTAAAGGAAGGTTCAACTCTGTCAGTTGAATACACACAACACAAAGAAGTTACTAAGAATTCTTCCCTCTAGCATTATATGAGGAAATCCCGTTTCCAACGAAGGCATCTAAGAGGTCCAAATATCCACTTGCAGACTTTACAAACAGAGGGTTTCCAGAATGCTGTATGAAAAGAAAGGTTAAACTCTGTGAGTTAAACACACACATCACTACGCAGTGTCTGGGAACAAGTTTGTCTTGTTTTTATACGAAGATATTTCCTTTTCTACCATTGGCATCGAAGCGCTTGAAATCTCCACTTGCAAATTCCACAAAAAGAGTGTTTCAAATCTGCTCTGTCTAAAGGAAGGTTGAACTCTGTGAGTTGCATACACACAACACAAAGAAGTTACTGAGAAATATTCTGTCTAGCATAATATGAAGAAATCCCGTTTCCAACGAAGGCCTCAAAGAGGTCCGAATATCCACTGGCAGGCTTCACAAACAGAGTGTTTCCTAACTGCTCTGTGAAAAGAAAGGTTAAACTCTGTGAGTTGAACGCACACATCACAAAGGAGTTTCTGAGAATCATTCTGTCTAGTTTTTATACGAAGATATTTCTTTTTCTACCATTGACCTCAAAGCGGCTGAAATCTCCACTTGCAAATTCCAGAAAAACAGTGTTTCAAATCTGCTCTGTGTAAAGGATCGTTCAACTCTGTGAGTTGAATACACACAACACAAGGAAGTTACTGAGAATTCATCTGTCTAGCATAATATGAAGAAATCCCGTTTCCAACGAAGGCCTCAAAGAGGTCTGAATATCCACTTGCAGACTTTACAAACAGAGTGTTTCCTAACTGCTCTTTGAAAAGAAAGGTTAAACTCTGTGAGTTGAACGCACACATCACAAAAAAGTTTCTGAGAATCATTCTGTCTAGTTTTTATACGAAGATATTTCCTTTTCTACCGTTGACCTCAAAGCGGCTGAATTCTCCACTAACAAATTCCACCAAAAGAGTGTCTCAAATCTGCTCTGTGTAAAGAATCATTCAACTCTGTGAGTTGAATGCACACAACACAAGGAAGTTACTGGGAATTCCTCTGTCTATCCTTACATGAAAAAACCCGTTTCCAACGAAGGCCTCTAAGAGGCCAAGATATCCACTTGCAGACTTACAAACAGAGTGTTTCCAAACTGCTGAATGAAAAGAAAAGTTAAACTCTGTGAGTTGAACGCACACATCACAGAGCAGTTTCTGAGAAAGATTCTGTCTAGTTTTTATAGGAAAATATTTCCTTTTCTGCTTTTGGCCTCAAAGCGCTTGAAATCTCCACTTGCAAATTCCACAAAAAGAGTGTTTCAAATCTGCTCTGTCTAAAGGAAGGTTGAACTCTGTGAGTTGCATACACACAACACAAAGAAGTTACTGAGAAATCTTCTGTCTAGCATAATATGAAGAAATCCCGTTTCCAACGAAGGCCTCAAAGAGGTCCGAATATCCACTGGCAGGCTTCACAAACAGAGTGTTTCCTAACTGCTCTGTGAAAAGAAAGGTTAAACTCTGTGAGTTGAACGCACACATCACAAAGGAGTTTCTGAGAATCATTCTGTCTAGTTTTTATACGAAGATATTTCCTTTTCTACCATTGACCTCAAAGCAGCTGAAATCTCCACTTGCGAATTCCAGAAAAACAGTGTTTCAAATCTGCTCTGTGTAAAGGATCGTTCAACTCTGTGAGTTGAATACACACAACACAAGGAAGTTACTGAGAATTCATCTGTCTAGCATAATATGAAGAAATCCCGTTTCCAAAGAACGCCTCAAAGAGTTCTGAATATCCACTTGCAGACTTTACAAACAGAGTGTTTCCTAACTGCTCTTTGAAAAGAAAGGTTAAACTCTGTGAGTTGAACGCACACATCACAAAACAGTTTCTGAGAATCATTCTGTCTAGTTTTTATACGAAGATATTTCCTTTTGTACCATTGACCTCAAATCGGCTGAATTCTCCACTTACAAATTCCACCAAAAGAGTGTCTCAAATCTGCTCTGTGTAAAGAATCATTCAACTCTGTGAGTTGAGTGCACACAACACAAGGAAGTTACTGGGAATTCCTCTGTCTAACCTTACATGAAAAAACCCGTTTCCAACGAAGGCCTCTAAGAGGCCAAGATATCCACTTGCAGACTTTACAAACAGAGTGTTTCCAAACTGCTGAATGAAAAGAAAAGTTAAACTCTGTGAGTTGAACGCACACATCACAGAGCAGTTTCTGAGAATGATTCTGTCGGGTTTTTATACGAAGATATTTCCTTTTCTGCCTTTGGCCTCAAAGCGCTTGAAGTCTCCACTTGCAAATTGCAGAAAAAGAGTGTTTCGAATCTGCTCTGTCTAAAGGAAGGTTCAACTCTGTCAGTTGAATACACACAACACAAGGAAGTTACTGAGATTTCTTCTGTCTAGCCTTACATGAAAAAAACCCGTTTCCAACGAAGGCCTCAAAGAGGTCAAAATATCCACGTGCAGACTTTCCAAACAGAGTGTTTCCAAACTGCTGAATGAAAAGAAAAGTTAAACTCTGTGAGTTGAACGCACACATCCCAGAGCAGTTTCTGAGAAAGATTCTGTCGAGTTTTTATAGGAAAATATTTCCTTTTCTGCTTTTGGCCTCAAAGCGCTTGAAATCTCCACTTGCAAATTCCACAAAAAGAGACTTTCAAATCTGCTCTGTCTAAAGGAAGGTTCAACTCTGTCAGTTGAATACACACAACACAAAGAAGTTACTAAGAATTCTTCCCTCTAGCATTATATGAAGAAATCCCGTTTCCAACGAAGGCATCTAAGAGGTCCAAATATCCACTTGCAGACTTTACAAACACAGGGTTTCCAGAATGCTGTATGAAAAGAAAGGTTAAACTCTGTGAGTTAAACACACACATCACTACGCAGTGTCTGGGAACGAGTTTGTCTTGTTTTTATACGAAGATATTTCCTTTTCTACCATTGGCATCGAAGCGCTTGAAATCTCCACTTGCAAATTCCACAAAAAGAGTGTTTCAAATCTGCTCTGTCTAAAGGAAGGTTGAACTCTGTGAGTTGCATACACACAACACAAAGAAGTTACTGAGAAATCTTCTGTCTAGCATAATATGAAGAAATCCCGTTTCCAACGAAGGCCTCAAAGAGGTCCGAATATCCACTGGCAGGCTTCACAAACAGAGTGTTTCCTAACTGCTCTGTGAAAAGAAAGGTTAAACTCTGTGAGTTGAACGCACACATCACAAAGGAGTTTCTGAGAATCATTCTGTCTAGTTTTTATACGAAGATATTTCCTTTTCTACCATTGACCTCAAAGCGGCTGAAATCTCCACTTGCAAATTCCAGAAAAACAGTGTTTCAAATCTGCTCTGTGTAAAGGATCGTTCAACTCTGTGACTTGAATACACACAACACAAGGAAGTTACTGAGAATTCATCTGTCTAGCATAATATGAAGAAATCCCGTTTCCAACGAAGGCCTCAAAGAGGTCTGAATATCCACTTGCAGACTTTACAAACAGAGTGTTTCCTAACTGCTCTTTGAAAAGAAAGGTTAAACTCTGTGAGTTGAACGCACACATCACAAAACAGTTTCTGAGAATCATTCTGTCTAGTTTTTATACGAAGATATTTCCTTTTCTACCGTTGACCTCAAAGCAGCTGAATTCTCCACTTACAAATTCCACCAAAAGAGTGTCTCAAATCTGCTCTGTGTAAAGAATCATTCAACTCTGTGAGTTGAATGCACACAACACAAGGAAGTTACTGGGAATTCCTCTGTCTAACCTTACATGAAAAAACCCGTTTCCAAAGAAGGCCTCTAAGAGGCCAAGATATCCACTTGCAGACTTTACAAACAGAGTGTTTCCAAACTGCTGAATGAAAAGAAAAGTTAAACTCTGTGAGTTGAACGCACACATCACAGAGCAGTTTCTGAGAATGATTCTGTCGGGTTTTTATACGAAGATATTTCCTTTTCTGCCTTTGGCCTCAAAGCGCTTGAAATCTCCACTTGCAAATTCCACAAAAAGAGACTTTCAAATCTGCTCTGTCTAAAGGAAGGTTCAACTCTGTCAGTTGAATACACACAACACAAAGAAGTTACTAAGAATTCTTCCCTCTAGCATTATATGAAGAAATCCCGTTTCCAACGAAGGCATCTAAGAGGTCCAAATATCCACTTGCAGACTTTACAAACAGAGGGTTTCCAGAATGCTGTATGAAAAGAAAGGTGAAACTCTGTGAGTTAAACACACACATCACTACGCAGTGTCTGGGAACGAGTTTGTCTTGTTTTTATACGAAGATATTTCCTTTTCTACCATTGGCATCGAAGCGCTTGAAATCTCCACTTGCAAATTCCACAAAAAGAGTGTTTCAAATCTGCTCTGTCTAAAGGAAGGTTGAACTCTGTGAGTTGCATACACACAACACAAAGAAGTTACTGAGAAATCTTCTGTCTAGCATAATATGAAGAAATCCCGTTTCCAACGAAGACCTCAAAGAGGTCCGAATATCCACGGGCAGGCTTCACAAACAGAGTGTTTCCTAACTGCTCTGTGAAAAGAAAGGTTAAACTCTGTGAGTTGAACGCACACATCACAAAGGAGTTTCTGAGAATCATTCTGTCTAGTTTTTATACGAAGATATTTCCTTTTCTACCATTGACCTCAAAGCAGCTGAAATCTCCACTTGCAAATTCCAGAAAAACAGTGTTTCAAATCTGCTCTGTGTAAAGGATCGTTCAACTCTGTGAGTTGAATACACACAACACAAGGAAGTTACTGAGAATTCATCTGTCTAGCATAATATGAAGAAATCCCGTTTCCAACGAAGGCCTCAAAGAGGTCTGAATATCCACTTGCAGACTTTACAAACAGAGTGTTTCCTAACTGCTCTTTGAAAAGAAAGGTTAAACTCTGTGAGTTGAACGCACACATCACAAAACAGTTTCTGAGAATCATTCTGTCTAGTTTTTATACGAAGATATTTCCTTTTCTACCGTTGACCTCAAAGCGGCTGAATTCTCCACTTACAAATTCCACCAAAAGAGTGTCTCAAATCTGCTCTGTGTAAAGAATCATTCAACTCTGTGAGTTGAATGCACACAACACAAGGAAGTTACTGGGAATTCCTCTGTCTATCCTTACATGAAAAAACCCGCTTCCAACGAAGGCCTCTAAGAGGCCAAGATATCCACTTGCAGACTTTACAAACAGAGTGTTTCCAAACTGCTGAATGAAAAGAAAAGTTAAACTCTGTGAGTTGAACGCACACATCACAGAGCAGTTTCTGAGAATGATTCTGTCGGGTTTTTATACGAAGATATTTCCTTTTCTGCCTTTGGCCTCAAAGCGCTTGAAGTCTCCACTTGCAAATTGCAGAAAAAGAGTGTTTCGAATCTGCTCTGTCTAAAGGAAGGTTCAACTCTGTCAGTTGAATACACACAACACAAGGAAGTTACTGAGATTTCTTCTGTCTAGCCTTACATAAAAAAAACCCGTTTCCAACGAAGGCCTCAAAGAGGTCAAAATATCCACGTGCAGACTTTCCAAACAGTGTTTCCAAACTGCTGAATGAAAAGAAAAGTTAAACTCTGTGAGTTGAACGCACACATCACAGAGCAGTTTCTGAGAATGAGTCTGTCGAGTTTTTATAGGAAAATATTTCCCTTTCTGCTTTTGGCCTCAAAGCGCTTGAAATCTCCACTTGCAAATTCCACAAAAAGAGACTTTCAAATCTGCTCTGTCTAAAGGAAGGTTCAACTCTGTCAGTTGAATACACACAACACAAAGAAGTTACTAAGAATTCTTCCCTCTAGCATTATATGAAGAAATCCCGTTTCCAACGAAGGCATCTAAGAGGTCCAAATATCCACTTGCAGACTTTACAAACAGAGGGTTTCCAGAATGCTGTATGAAAAGAAAGGTGAAACTCTGTGAGTTAAACACACACATCACTACGCAGTGTCTGGGAACGAGTTTGTCTTGTTTTTATACGAAGATATTTCCTTTTCTACCATTGGCATCGAAGCGCTTGAAATCTCCACTTGCAAATTCCACAAAAAGAGTGTTTCAAATCTGCTCTGTCTAAAGGAAGGTTGAACTCTGTGAGTTGCATACACACAACACAAAGAAGTTACTGAGAAATCTTCTGTCTAGCATAATATGAAGAAATCCCGTTTCCAACGAAGGCCTCAAAGAGGTCCGAATATCCACTGGCAGGCTTCACAAACAGAGTGTTTCCTAACTGCTCTGTGAAAAGAAAGGTTAAACTCTGTGAGTTGAACGCACACATCACAAAGGAGTTTCTGAGAATCATTCTGTCTAGTTTTTATACGAAGATATTTCCTTTTCTACCATTGACCTCAAAGCGGCTGAAATCTCCACTTGCAAATTCCAGAAAAACAGTGTTTCAAATCTGCTCTGTGTAAAGGATCGTTCAACTCTGTGAGTTGAATACACACAACACAAGGAAGTTACTGAGAATTCATCTGTCTAGCATAATATGAAGAAATCCCGTTTCCAACGAAGGTCTCAAAGAGGTCTGAATATCCGCTTGCAGACTTTACAAACAGAGTGTTTCCTAACTGCTCTTTGAAAAGAAAGGTTAAACTCTGTGAGTTGAACGCACACATCACAAAACAGTTTCTGAGAATCATTCTGTCTAGTTTTTATACGAAGATATTTCCTTTTCTACCATTGACCTCAAAGCGGCTGAATTCTCCACTAACAAATTCCACCAAAAGAGTGTCTCAAATCTGCTCTGTGTAAAGAATCATTCAACTCTGTGAGTTGAATGCACACAACACAAGGAAGTTACTGGGAATTCCTCTGTCTAACCTTAAATGAAAAAACCCGTTTCCAACGAAGGCCTCTAAGAGGCCAAGATATCCACTTGCAGACTTTACAAACAGAGTGTTTCCAAACTGCTGAATGAAAAGAAAAGTTAAACTCTGTGAGTTGAACGCACACATCACAGAGCAGTTTCTGAGAATGATTCTGTCGGGTTTTTATACGAAGATATTTCCTTTTCTGCCTTTGGCCTCAAAGCGCTTGAAGTCTCCACTTGCAAATTGCAGAAAAAGAGTGTTTCGAATCTGCTCTGTCTAAAGGAAGGTTCAACTCTGTCAGTTGAATACACACAACACAAGGAAGTTACTGAGATTTCTTCTGTCTAGCCTTACATGAAAAAAACCCGTTTCCAACGAAGGCCTCAAAGAGGTCAAAATATCCACGTGCAGACTTTCCAAACAGAGTGTTTCCAAACTGCTGAATGAAAAGAAAAGTTAAACTCTGTGAGTTGAACGCACACATCCCAGAGCAGTTTCTGAGAAAGATTCTGTCGAGTTTTTATAGGAAAATATTTCCTTTTCTGCTTTTGGCCTCAAAGCGCTTGAAATCTCCACTTGCAAATTCCACAGAAAGAGACTTTCAAATCTGCTCTGTCTAAAGGAAGGTTCAACTCTGTCAGTTGAATACACACAACACAAAGAAGTTACTAAGAATTCTTCCCTCTAGCATTATATGAAGAAATCCCGTTTCCAACGAAGGCATCTAAGAGGTCCAAATATCCACTTGCAGACTTTACAAACACAGGGTTTCCAGAATGCTGTATGAAAAGAAAGGTTAAACTCTGTGAGTTAAACACACACATCACTACGCAGTGTCTGGGAACGAGTTTGTCTTGTTTTTATACGAAGATATTTCCTTTTCTACCATTGGCATCGAAGCGCTTGAAATCTCCACTTGCAAATTCCACAAAAAGAGTGTTTCAAATATGCTCTCTCTAAAGGAAGGTTGAACTCTGTGAGTTGCATACACACAACCCAAAGAAGTTACTGAGAAATCTTCTGTCTAGCATAATATGAAGAAATCCCGTTTCCAACGAAGGCCTCAAAGAGGTCCGATTATCCACTGGCAGGCTTCACAAACAGAGTGTTTCCTAACTGCTCTGTGAAAAGAAAGGTTAAACTCTGTGAGTTGAACGCACACATCACAAAGGAGTTTCTGAGAATCATTCTGTCTAGTTTTTATACGAAGATATTTCCTTTTCTACCATTGACCTCAAAGCGGCTGACATCTCCACTTGCAAATTCCAGAAAAACAGTGTTTCAAATCTGCTCTGTGTAAAGGATCGTTCAACTCTGTGAGTTGAATACACACAACACAAGGAAGTTACTGAGAATTCATCTGTCTAGCATAATATGAAGAAATCCCGTTTCCAACGAAGGCCTCAAAGAGGTCTGAATATCCACTTGCAGACTTTACAAACAGAGTGTTTCCTAACTGCTCTTTGAAAAGAAAGGTTAAACTCTGTGAGTTGAACGCACACATCACAAAACAGTTTCTGAGAATCATTCTGTCTAGTTTTTATACGAAGATATTTCCTTTTCTACCGTTGACCTCAAAGCGGCTGAATTCTCCACTTACAAATTCCACCAAAAGAGTGTCTCAAATCTGCTCTGTGTAAAGAATCATTCAACTCTGTGAGTTGAATGCACACAACACAAGGAAGTTACTGGGAATTCCTCTGTCTAACCTTACATGAAAAAACCCGTTTCCAACGAAGGCCTCTAAGAGGCCAAGATATCCACTTGCAGACTTTACAAACAGAGTGTTTCCAAACTGCTGAATGAAAAGAAAAGTTAAACTCTGTGAGTTGAACGCACACATCACAGAGCAGTTTCTGAGAATGATTCTGTCGGGTTTTTATACGAAGATATTTCCTTTTCTGCCTTTGGCCTCAAAGCGCTTGAAGTCTCCACTTGCAAATTGCAGAAAAAGAGTGTTTCGAATCTGCTCTGTCTAAAGGAAGGTTCAACTCTGTCAGTTGAATACACACAACACAAGGAAGTTACTGAGATTTCTTCTGTCTAGCCTTACATGAAAAAAACCCGTTTCCAACGAAGGCCTCAAAGAGGTCAAAATATCCACGTGCAGACTTTCCAAACAGAGTGTTTCCAAACTGCTGAATGAAAAGAAAAGTTAAACTCTGTGAGTTGAACGCACACATCCCAGAGCAGTTTCTGAGAAAGATTCTGTCTAGTTTTTATAGGAAAATATTTCCTTTTCTGCTTTTGGCCTCAAAGCGCTTGAAATCTCCACTTGCAAATTCCACAAAAAGAGACTTTCAAATCTGCTCTGTCTAAAGGAAGGTTCAACTCTGTCAGTTGAATACACACAACACAAAGAAGTTACTAAGAATTCTTCCCTCTAGCATTATATGAAGAAATCCCGTTTCCAACGAAGGCATCTAAGAGGTCCAAATATCCACTTGCAGACTTTACAAACACAGGGTTTCCAGAATGCTGTATGAAAAGAAAGGTTAAACTCTGTGAGTTAAACACACACATCACTACGCAGTGTCTGGGAACGAGTTTGTCTTGTTTTTATACGAAGATATTTCCTTTTCTACCATTGGCATCGAAGCGCTTGAAATCTCCACTTGCAAATTCCACAAAAAGAGTGTTTCAAATCTGCTCTGTCTAAAGGAAGGTTGAACTCTGTGAGTTGCATACACACAACACAAAGAAGTTACTGAGAAATCTTCTGTCTAGCATAATATGAAGAAATCCCGTTTCCAACGAAGGCCTCAAAGAGGTCCGAATATCCACTGGCAGGCTTCACAAACAGAGTGTTTCCTAACTGCTCTGTGAAAAGAAAGGTTAAACTCTGTGAGTTGAACGCACACATCACAAAGGAGTTTCTGAGAATCATTCTGTCTAGTTTTTATACGAAGATATTTCCTTTTCTACCATTGACCTCAAAGCGGCTGAAATCTCCACTTGCAAATTCCAGAAAAACAGTGTTTCAAATCTGCTCTGTGTAAAGGATCGTTCAACTCTGTGAGTTGAATACACACAACACAAGGAAGTTACTGAGAATTCATCTGTCTAGCATAATATGAAGAAATCCCGTTTCCAACGAAGGCCTCAAAGAGGTCTGAATATCCACTTGCAGACTTTACAAACAGAGTGTTTCCTAACTGCTCTTTGAAAAGAAAGGTTAAACTCTGTGAGTTGAACGCACACATCACAAAACAGTTTCTGAGAATCATTCTGTCTAGTTTTTATACGAAGATATTTCCTTTTCTACCGTTGACCTCAAAGCGGCTGAATTCTCCACTTACAAATTCCACCAAAAGAGTGTCTCAAATCTGCTCTGTGTAAAGAATCATTCAACTCTGTGAGTTGAATGCACACAACACAAGGAAGTTACTGGGAATTCCTCTGTCTAACCTTACATGAAAAAACCCGTTTCCAACGAAG
This sequence comes from Homo sapiens, assembly GCF_000001405.40. Lineage (NCBI taxonomy): Eukaryota > Metazoa > Chordata > Mammalia > Primates > Hominidae > Homo > Homo sapiens. The sequence continues at coordinate 37,392,941 of NC_000016.10, read as the reverse complement.
GCCTCTAAGAGGCCAAGATATCCACTTGCAGACTTTACAAACAGAGTGTTTCCAAACTGCTGAATGAAAAGAAAAGTTAAACTCTGTGAGTTGAACGCACACATCACAGAGCAGTTTCTGAGAATGATTCTGTCTGTTTTTTATACGAAGATATTTCCTTTTCTGCCTTTGGCCTCAAAGCGCTTGCAGTCTCCACTTGCAAATTGCACAAAAAGAGTGTTTCGAATCTGCTCTGTCTAAAGGAAGGTTCAACCCTGGCAGTTGAATACACACAACACAAGGGAAGTTACTGAGATTTCTTCTGTCTAGCGTTACATGAAAAAAACCCGTTTCCAACGAAGGCCTCAAAGAGGTCAAAATATCCACGTGCAGACTTTCCAAACAGAGTGTTTCCAAACTGATGAATGAAAAGAAAAGTTAAACTCTGTGAGTTGAACGCACACATCCCAGAGCAGTTTCTGAGAAAGATTCTGTCTAGTTTTTATAGGAAAATATTTCCTTTTCTGCTTTTGGCCTCAAAGCGCTTGAAATCTCCACTTGCAAATTCCACAAAAAGAGACTTTCAAATCTGCTCTGTCTAAAGGAAGGTTCAACTCTGTCAGTTGAATACACACAACACAAAGAAGTTACTAAGAATTCTTCCCTCTAGCATTATATGAAGAAATCCCGTTTCCAACGAAGGCATCTAAGAGGTCCAAATATCCACTTGCAGACTTTACAAACAGAGGGTTTCCAGAATGCTGTATGAAAAGAAAGGTTAAACTCTGTGAGTTAAACACACACATCACTACGCAGTGTCTGGGAACGAGTTTGTCTTGTTTTTATACGAAGATATTTCCTTTTCTACCATTGGCATCGAAGCGCTTGAAATCTCCACTTGCAAATTCCACAAAAAGAGTGTTTCAAATCTGCTCTGTCTAAAGGAAGGTTGAACTCTGTGAGTTGCATACACACAACACAAAGAAGTTACTGAGAAATCTTCTGTCTAGCATAATATGAAGAAATCCCGTTTCCAACGAAGGCCTCAAAGAGGTCCGAATATCCACTGGCAGGCTTCACAAACAGAGTGTTTCCTAACTGCTCTGTGAAAAGAAAGGTTAAACTCTGTGAGTTGAACGCACACATCACAAAGGAGTTTCTGAGAATCATTCTGTCTAGTTTTTATACAGAAGATATTTCCTTTTCTACCATTGACCTCAAAGCGGCTGAAATCTCCACTTGCAAATTCCAGAAAAACAGTGTTTCAAATCTGCTCTGTGTAAAGGATCGTTCAACTCTGTGAGTTGAATACACACAACACAAGGAAGTTACTGAGAATTCATCTGTCTAGCATAATATGAAGAAATCCCGTTTCCAACGAAGGCCTCAAAGAGGTCTGAATATCCACTTGCAGACTTTACAGAGTGTTTCCTAACTGCTCTCTGAAAAGAAAGGTTAAACTCTGTGAGTTGAACGCACACATCACAAAACAGTTTCTGAGAATCATTCTGTCTAGTTTTAATACGAAGATATTTCCTTTTCTACCGTTGACCTCAAAGCGGCTGAATTCTCCACTTACAAATTCCACCAAAAGAGTGTCTCAAATCTGCTCTGTGTAAAGAATCGTTCAACTCTGTGAGTTGAATGCACACAACACAAGGAAGTTACTGGGAATTCCTCTGTCTATCCTTACATGAAAAAACCCGTTTCCAACGAAGGCCTCTAAGAGGCCAAGATATCCACATGCAGACTTTACAAACAGAGTGTTTCCAAACTGCTGAATGAAAAGAAAAGTTAAACTCTGTGAGTTGAACGCACACATCACAGAGCAGTTTCTGAGAATGATTCTGTCGGGTTTTTATACGAAGATATTTCCTTTTCTGCCTTTGGCCTCAAAGCGCTTGAAGTCTCCACTTGCAAATTGCAGAAAAAGAGTGTTTCGAATCTGCTCTGTCTAAAGGAAGGTTCAACTCTGTCAGTTGAATACACACAACACAAGGAAGTTACTGAGATTTCTTCTGTCTAGCCTTACATGAAAAAAACCCGTTTCCAACGAAGGCCTCAAAGAGGTCAAAATATCCACGTGCAGACTTTCCAAACAGAGTGTTTCCAAACTGCTGAATGAAAAGAAAAGTTAAACTCTGTGAGTTGAACGCACACATCCCAGAGCAGTTTCTGAGAAAGATTCTGTCGAGTTTTTATAGGAAAATATTTCCTTTTCTGCTTTTGGCCTCAAAGCGCTTGAAATCTCCACTTGCAAATTCCACAAAAAGAGACTTTCAAATCTGCTCTGTCTAAAGGAAGGTTCAACTCTGTCAGTTGAATACACACAACACAAAGAAGTTACTAAGAATTCTTCCCTCTAGCATTATATGAAGAAATCCCGTTTCCAACGAAGGCATCTAAGAGGTCCAAATATCCACTTGCAGACTTTACAAACAGAGGGTTTCCAGAATGCTGTATGAAAAGAAAGGTTAAACTCTGTGAGTTAAACACACACATCACTACGCAGTGTCTGGGAACGAGTTTGTCTTGTTTTTATACGAAGATATTTCCTTTTCTACCATTGGCATCGAAGCGCTTGAAATCTCCACTTGCAAATTCCACAAAAAGAGTGTTTCAAATCTGCTCTGTCTAAAGGAAGGTTGAACTCTGTGAGTTGCATACACACAACACAAAGAAGTTACTGAGAAATCTTCTGTCTAGCATAATATGAAGAAATCCCGTTTCCAACGAAGGCCTCAAAGAGGTCCGAATATCCACTGGCAGGCTTCACAAACAGAGTGTTTCCTAACTGCTCTGTGAAAAGAAAGGTTAAACTCTGTGAGTTGAACGCACACATCACAAAGGAGTTTCTGAGAATCATTCTGTCTAGTTTTTATACGAAGATATTTCCTTTTCTACCATTGACCTCAAAGCGGCTGAAATCTCCACTTGCAAATTCCAGAAAAACAGTGTTTCAAATCTGCTCTGTGTAAAGGATCGTTCAACTCTGTGAGTTGAATACACACAACACAAGGAAGTTACTGAGAATTCATCTGTCTAGCATAATATGAAGAAATCCCGTTTCCAACGAAGGCCTCAAAGAGGTCTGAATATCCACTTGCAGACTTTACAAACAGAGTGTTTCCTAACTGCTCTTTGAAAAGAAAGGTTAAACTCTGTGAGTTGAAAGCACACATCACAAAACAGTTTCTGAGAATCATTCTGTCTAGTTTTTATACGAAGATATTTCCTTTTCTACCGTTGACCTCAAAGCGGCTGAATTCTCCACTTTCAAATTCCACCAAAAGAGTGTCTCAAATCTGCTCTGTGTAAAGAATCATTCAACTCTGTGAGTTGAATGCACACAACACAAGGAAGTTACTGGGAATTCCTCTGTCTATCCTTACATGAAAAAACCCGCTTCCAACGAAGGCCTCTAAGAGGCCAAGATATCCACTTGCAGACTTTACAAACAGAGTGTTTCCAAACTGCTGAATGAAAAGAAAAGTTAAACTCTGTGAGTTGAACGCACACATCACAGAGCAGTTTCTGAGAATGATTCTGTCGGGTTTTTATACGAAGATATTTCCTTTTCTGCCTTTGGCCTCAAAGCGCTTGAAGTCTCCACTTGCAAATTGCAGAAAAAGAGTGTTTCGAATCTGCTCTGTCTAAAGGAAGGTTCAACTCTGTCAGTTGAATACACACAACACAAAGAAGTTACTGAGATTTCTTCTGTCTAGCCTTACATGAAAAAAACCCGTTTCCAACGAAGGCCTCAAAGAGGTCAAAATATCCACGTGCAGACTTTCCAAACAGAGTGTTTCCAAACTGCTGAATGAAAAGAAAAGTTAAACTCTGTGAGTTGAACGCACACATCCCAGAGCAGTTTCTGAGAAAGATTCTGTCTAGTTTTTATAGGAAAATATTTCCTTTTCTGCTTTTGGCCTCAAAGCGCTTGAAATCTCCACTTGCAAATTCCACAAAAAGAGACTTTCAAATCTGCTCTGTCTAAAGGAAGGTTCAACTCTGTCAGTTGAATACACACAACACAAAGAAGTTACTAAGAATTCTTCCCTCTAGCATTATATGAAGAAATCCCGTTTCCAACGAAGGCATCTAAGAGGTCCAAATATCCACTTGCAGACTTTACAAACAGAGGGTTTCCAGAATGCTGTATGAAAAGAAAGGTTAAACTCTGTGAGTTAAACACACACATCACTACGCAGTGTCTGGGAACGAGTTTGTCTTGTTTTTATACGAAGATATTTCCTTTTCTACCATTGGCATCGAAGCGCTTGAAATCTCCACTTGCAAATTCCACAAAAAGAGTGTTTCAAATCTGCTCTGTCTAAAGGAAGGTTGAACTCTGTGAGTTGCATACACACAACACAAAGAAGTTACTGAGAAATCTTCTGTCTAGCATAATATGAAGAAATCCCGTTTCCAACGAAGGCCTCAAAGAGGTCCGAATATCCCCTGGCAGGCTTCACAAACAGAGTGTTTCCTAACTGCTCTGTGAAAAGAAAGGTTAAACTCTGTGAGTTGAACGCACACATCACAAAGGAGTTTCTGAGAATCATTCTGTCTAGTTTTTATACGAAGATATTTCCTTTTCTACCATTGACCTCAAAGCGGCTGAAATCTCCACTTGCAAATTCCAGAAAAACAGTGTTTCAAATCTGCTCTGTGTAAAGGATCGTTCAACTCTGTGAGTTGAATACACACAACACAAGGGAAGTTACTGAGAATTCATCTGTCTAGCATAATATGAAGAAATCCCGTTTCCAACGAAGGCCTCAAAGAGGTCTGAATATCCACTTGCAGACTTTACAAACAGAGTGTTTCCTAACTGCTCTTTGAAAAGAAAGGTTAAACTCTGTGAGTTGAACGCACACATCACAAAACAGTTTCTGAGAATCATTCTGTCTAGTTTTTATACGAAGATATTTCCTTTTCTACCGTTGACCTCAAAGCGGCTGAATTCTCCACTAACAAATTCCACCAAAAGAGTGTCTCAAATCTGCTCTGTGTAAAGAATCATTCAACTCTGTGAGTTGAATGCACACAACACAAGGAAGTTACTGGGAATTCCTCTGTCTAACCTTACATGAAAAAACCCGTTTCCAACGAAGGCCTCTAAGAGGCCAAGATATCCACTTGCAGACTTTACAAACAGAGTGTTTCCAAACTGCTGAATGAAAAGAAAAGTTAAACTCTGTGAGTTGAACGCACACATCACAGAGCAGTTTCTGAGAATGATTCTGTCGGGTTTTTATACGAAGATATTTCCTTTTCTGCCTTTGGCCTCAAAGCGCTTGAAGTCTCCACTTGCAAATTGCAGAAAAAGAGTGTTTCGAATCTGCTCTGTCTAAAAGAAGGTTCAACTCTGTCAGTTGAATACACACAACACAAGGAAAGTTACTGAGATTTCTTCTGTCTAGCCTTACATGAAAAAAACCCGTTTCCAACGAAGGCCTCAAAGAGGTCAAAATATCCACGTGCAGACTTTCCAAACAGAGTGTTTCCAAACTGCTGAATGAAAAGAAAAGTTAAACTCTGTGAGTTGAACGCACACATCCCAGAGCAGTTTCTGAGAAAGATTCTGTCTAGTTTTTATAGGAAAATATTTCCTTTTCTGCTTTTGGCCTCAAAGCGCTTGAAATCTCCACTTGCAAATTCCACAAAAAGAGACTTTCAAATCTGCTCTGTCTAAAGGAAGGTTCAACTCTGTCAGTTGAATACACACAACACAAAGAAGTTACTAAGAATTCTTCCCTCTAGCATTATATGAAGAAATCCCGTTTCCAACGAAGGCATCTAAGAGGTCCAAATATCCACTTGCAGACTTTACAAACAGAGGGTTTCCAGAATGCTGTATGAAAAGAAAGGTGAAACTCTGTGAGTTAAACACACACATCACTACGCAGTGTCTGGGAACGAGTTTGTCTTGTTTTTATACGAAGATATTTCCTTTTCTACCATTGGCATCGAAGCGCTTGAAATCTCCACTTGCAAATTCCACAAAAAGAGTGTTTCAAATCTGCTCTGTCTAAAGGAAGGTTGAACTCTGTGAGGTGCATACACACAACACAAAGAAGTTACTGAGAAATCTTCTGTCTAGCATAATATGAAGAAATCCCGTTTCCAACGAAGGCCTCAAAGAGGTCTGAATATCCACTGGCAGGCTTCACAAACAGAGTGTTTCCTAACTGCTCTGTGAAAAGAAAGGTTAAACTCTGTGAGTTGAACGCACACATCACAAAGGAGTTTCTGAGAATCATTCTGTCTAGTTTTTATACGAAGATATTTCCTTTTCTACCATTGACCTCAAAGCGGCTGAAATCTCCACTTGCAAATTCCAGAAAAACAGTGTTTCAAATCTGCTCTGTGTAAAGGATCGTTCAACTCTGTGAGTTGAATACACACAACACAAGGAAGTTACTGAGAATTCATCTGTCTAGCATAATATGAAGAAATCCCGTTTCCAACGAAGGCCTCAAAGAGGTCTGAATATCCACTTGCAGACTTTACAAACAGAGTGTTTCCTAACTGCTCTTTGAAAAGAAAGGTTAAACTCTGTGAGTTGAACGCACACATCACAAAACAGTTTCTGAGAATCATTCTGTCTAGTTTTTATACGAAGATATTTCCTTTTCTACCGTTGACCTCAAAGCGGCTGAATTCTCCACTTACAAATTCCACCAAAAGAGTGTCTCAAATCTGCTCTGTGTAAAGAATCATTCAACTCTGTGAGTTGAATGCACACAACACAAGGAAGTTACTGGGAATTCCTCTGTCTAACCTTACATGAAAAAACCCGTTTCCAATGAAGGCCTCTAAGAGGCCAAGATATCCACTTGCAGACTTTACAAACAGAGTGTTTCCAAACTGCTGAATGAAAAGAAAAGTTAAACTCTGTGAGTTGAACGCACACATCACAGAGCAGTTTCTGAGAATGATTCTGTCGGGTTTTTATACGAAGATATTTCCTTTTCTGCCTTTGGCCTCAAAGCGCTTGAAGTTTCCACTTGCAAATTGCAGAAAAAGAGTGTTTCGAATCTGCTCTGTCTAAAGGAAGGTTCAACTCTGTCAGTTGAATACACACAACACAAGGAAGTTACTGAGATTTCTTCTGTCTAGCCTTACATGAAAAAAACCCGTTTCCAACGAAGGCCTCAAAGAGGTCAAAATATCCACGTGCAGACTTTCCAAACAGAGTGTTTCCAAACTGCTGAATGAAAAGAAAAGTTAAACTCTGTGAGTTGAACGCACACATCCCAGAGCAGTTTCTGAGAAAGATTCTGTCGAGTTTTTATAGGAAAATATTTCCTTTTCTACTTTTGGCCTCAAAGCGCTTGAAATCTCCACTTGCAAATTCCACAAAAAGAGACTTTCAAATCTGCTCTGTCTAAAGGAAGGTTCAACTCTGTCAGTTGAATACACACAACACAAAGAAGTTACTAAGAATTCTTCCCTCTAGCATTATATGAAGAAATCCCGTTTCCAACGAAGGCATCTAAGAGGTCCAAATATCCACTTGCAGACTTTACAAACAGAGGGTTTCCAGAATGCTGTATGAAAAGAAAGGTGAAACTCTGTGAGTTAAACACACACATCACTACGCAGTGTCTGGGAACGAGTTTGTCTTGTTTTTATACGAAGATATTTCCTTTTCTACCATTGGCATCGAAGCGCTTGAAATCTCCACTTGCAAATTCCACAAAAAGAGTGTTTCAAATCTGCTCTGTCTAAAGGAAGGTTGAACTCTGTGAGTTGCATACACACAACACAAAGAAGTTACTGAGAAATCTTCTGTCTAGCATAATATGAAGAAATCCCGTTTCCAACGAAGGCCTCAAAGAGGTCCGAATATCCACTGGCAGGCTTCACAAACAGAGTGTTTCCTAACTGCTCTGTGAAAAGAAAGGTTAAACTCTGTGAGTTGAACGCACACATCACAAAGGAGTTTCTGAGAATCATTCTGTCTAGTTTTTATACGAAGATATTTCCTTTTCTACCATTGACCTCAAAGCGGCTGAAATCTCCACTTGCAAATTCCAGAAAAACAGTGTTTCAAATCTGCTCTGTGTAAAGGATCGTTCAACTCTGTGAGTTGAATACACACAACACAAGGAAGTTACTGAGAATTCATCTGTCTAGCATAATATGAAGAAATCCCGTTTCCAACGAAGGCCTCAAAGAGGTCTGAATATCCACTTGCAGACTTTACAAACAGAGTGTTTCCTAACTGCTCTTTGAAAAGAAAGGTTAAACTCTGTGAGTTGAACGCACACATCACAAAACAGTTTCTGAGAATCATTCTGTCTAGTTTTTATACGAAGATATTTCCTTTTCTACCGTTGACCTCAAAGCGGCTGAATTCTCCACTTACAAATTCCACCAAAAGAGTGTCTCAAATCTGCTCTGTGTAAAGAATCATTCAACTCTGTGAGTTGAATGCACACAACACAAGGAAGTTACTGGGAATTCCTCTGTCTAACCTTACATGAAAAAACCCGTTTCCAACGAAGGCCTCTAAGAGGCCAAGATATCCACTTGCAGACTTTACAAACAGAGTGTTTCCAAACTGCTGAATGAAAAGAAAAGTTAAACTCTGTGAGTTGAACGCACACATCACAGAGCAGTTTCTGAGAATGATTCTGTCGGGTTTTTATACGAAGATATTTCCTTTTCTGCCTTTGGCCTCAAAGCGCTTGAAGTCTCCACTTGCAAATTGCAGAAAAAGAGTGTTTCGAATCTGCTCTGTCTAAAGGAAGGTTCAACTCTGTCAGTTGAATACACACAACACAAGGAAGTTACTGAGATTTCTTCTGTCTAGCCTTACATGAAAAAAACCCGTTTCCAACGAAGGCCTCAAAGAGGTCAAAATATCCACGTGCAGACTTTCCAAACAGAGTGTTTCCAAACTGCTGAATGAAAAGAAAAGTTAAACTCTGTGAGTTGAACGCACACATCCCAGAGCAGTTTCTGAGAAAGATTCTGTCGAGTTTTTATAGGAAAATATATCCTTTTCTGCTTTTGGCCTCAAAGCGCTTGAAATCTCCACTTGCAAATTCCACAAAAAGAGACTTTCAAATCTGCTCTGTCTAAAGGAAGGTTCAACTCTGTCAGTTGAATACACACAACACAAAGAAGTTACTAAGAATTCTTCCCTCTAGCATTATATGAAGAAATCCCGTTTGCAACGAAGGCATCTAAGAGGTCCAAATATCCACTTGCAGACTTTACAAACAGAGGGTTTCCAGAATGCTGTATGAAAAGAAAGGTGAAACTCTGTGAGTTAAACACACACATCACTACGCAGTGTCTGGGAACGAGTTTGTCTTGTTTTTATACGAAGATATTTCCTTTTCTACCATTGGCATCGAAGCGCTTGAAATCTCCACTTGCAAATTCCACAAAAAGAGTGTTTCAAATCTGCTCTGTCTAAAGGAAGGTTGAACTCTGTGAGTTGCATACACACAACACAAAGAAGTTACTGAGAAATCTTCTGTCTAGCATAATATGAAGAAATCCCGTTTCCAACGAAGGCCTCAAAGAGGTCCGAATATCCACTGGCAGGCTTCACAAACAGAGTGTTTCCTAACTGCTCTGTGAAAAGAAAGGTTAAACCCTGTGAGTTGAACGCACACATCACAAAGGAGTTTCTGAGAATCATTCTGTCTAGTTTTTATACGAAGATATTTCCTTTTCTACCATTGACCTCAAAGCGGCTGAAATCTCCACTTGCAAATTCCAGAAAAACAGTGTTTCAAATCTGCTCTGTGTAAAGGATCGTTCAACTCTGTGAGTTGAATACACACAACACAAGGAAGTTACTGAGAATTCATCTGTCTAGCATAATATGAAGAAATCCCGTTTCCAACGAAGGCCTCAAAGAGGTCTGAATATCCACTTGCAGACTTTACAAACAGAGTGTTTCCTAACTGCTCTTTGAAAAGAAAGGTTAAACTCTGTGAGTTGAACGCACACATCACAAAACAGTTTCTGAGAATCATTCTGTCTAGTTTTTATACGAAGATATTTCCTTTTCTACCGTTGACATCAAAGCGGCTGAATTCTCCACTTACAAATTCCACCAAAAGAGTGTCTCAAAACTGCTCTGTGTAAAGAATCATTCAACTCTGTGAGTTGAATGCACACAACACAAGGAAGTTACTGGGAATTCCTCTGTCTAACCTTACATGAAAAAACCCGTTTCCAACGAAGGCCTCTAAGAGGCCAAGATATCCACTTGCAGACTTTACAAACAGAGTGTTTCCAAACTGCTGAATGAAAAGAAAAGTTAAACTCTGTGAGTTGAACGCACACATCACAGAGCAGTTTCTGAGAATGATTCTGTCGGGTTTTTATACGAAGATATTTCCTTTTCTGCCTTTGGCCTCAAAGCGCTTGAAGTCTCCACTTGCAAATTGCAGAAAAAGAGTGTTTCGAATCTGCTCTGTCTAAAGGAAGGTTCAACTCTGTCAGTTGAATACACACAACACAAGGAAGTTACTGAGATTTCTTCTGTCTAGCCTTACATGAAAAAAACCCGTTTCCAACGAAGGCCTCAAAGAGGTCAAAATATCCACGTGCAGACTTTCCAAACAGAGTGTTTCCAAACTGCTGAATGAAAAGAAAAGTTAAACTCTGTGAGTTGAACGCACACATCCCAGAGCAGTTTCTGAGAAAGATTCTGTCGAGTTTTTATAGGAAAATATTTCCTTTTCTGCTTTCGGCCTCAAAGCGCTTGAAATCTCCACTTGCAAATTCCACAAAAAGAGACTTTCAAATCTGCTCTGTCTAAAGGAAGGTTCAACTCTGTCAGTTGAATACACACAACACAAAGAAGTTACTAAGAATTCTTCCCTCTAGCATTATATGAAGAAATCCCGTTTCCAACGAAGGCATCTAAGAGGTCCAAATATCCACTTGCAGACTTTACAAACACACGGTTTCCAGAATGCTGTATGAAAAGAAAGGTGAAACTCTGTGAGTTAAACACACATATCACTACGCAGTGTCTGGGAACGAGTTTGTCTTGTTTTTATACGAAGATATTTCCTTTTCTACCATTGGCATCGAAGCGCTTGAAATCTCCACTTGCAAATTCCACAAAAAGAGTGTTTCAAATCTGCTCTGTCTAAAGGAAGGTTGAACTCTGTGAGTTGCATACACACAACACAAAGAAGTTACTGAGAAATCTTCTGTCTAGCATAATATGAAGAAATCCCGTTTCCAACGAAGGCCTCAAAGAGGTCCGAATATCCACTGGCAGGCTTCACAAACAGAGTGTTTCCTAACTGCTCTGTGAAAAGAAAGGTTAAACTCTGTGAGTTGAACGCACACATCACAAAGGAGTTTCTGAGAATCATTCTGTCTAGTTTTTATACGAAGATATTTCCTTTTCTACCATTGACCTCAAATCGGCTGAAATCTCCACTTGCAAATTCCAGAAAAACAGTGTTTCAAATCTGCTCTGTGTAAAGGATCGTTCAACTCTGTGAGTTGAATACACACAACACAAGGAAGTTACTGAGAATTCATCTGTCTAGCATAATATGAAGAAATCCCGTTTCCAACGAAGGCCTCAAAGAGGTCTGAATATCCACTTGCAGACTTTACAAACAGAGTGTTTCCTAACTGCTCTCTGAAAAGAAAGGTTAAACTGTGTGAGTTGAACGCACACATCACAAAACAGTTTCTGAGAATCATTCTGTCTAGTTTTTATACGAAGATATTTCCTTTTCTACCGTTGACCTCAAAGCGGCTGAATTCTCCACTTACAAATTCCACCAAAAGAGTGTCTCAAATCTGCTCTGTGTAAAGAATCATTCAACTCTGTGAGTTGAATGCACACAACACAAGGAAGTTACTGGGAATTCCTCTGTCTATCCTTACATGAAAAAACCCGTTTCCAACGAAGGCCTCTAAGAGGCCAAGATATCCACTTGCAGACTTTACAAACAGAGTGTTTCCAAACTGCTGAATGAAAAGAAAAGTTAAACTCTGTGAGTTGAACGCACACATCACAGAGCAGTTTCTGAGAATGATTCTGTCGGGTTTTTATACGAAGATATTTCCTTTTCTGCCTTTGGCCTCAAAGCGCTTGAAGTCTCCACTTGCAAATTGCAGAAAAAGAGTGTTTCGAATCTGCTCTGTCTAAAGGAAGGTTCAACTCTGTCAGTTGAATACACACAACACAAGGAAGTTACTGAGATTTCTTCTGTCTAGCCTTACATGAAAAAAACCCGTTTCCAACGAAGGCCTCAAAGAGGTCAAAATATCCACGTGCAGACTTTCCAAACAGAGTGTTTCCAAACTGCTGAATGAAAAGAAAAGTTAAACTCTGTGAGTTGAACGCACACATCCCAGAGCAGTTTCTGAGAAAGATTCTGTCTAGTTTTTATAGGAAAATATTTCCTCTTCTGCTTTTGGCCTCAAAGCGCTTGAAATCTCCACTTGCAAATTCCACAAAAAGAGTGTTTCAAATCTGCTCTGTCTAAAGGAAGGTTGAACTCTGTGAGTTGCATACACACAACACAAAGAAGTTACTGAGAAATCTTCTGTCTAGCATAATATGAAGAAATCCCGTTTCCAACGAAGGCCTCAAAGAGGTCCGAATATCCACTGGCAGGCTTCACAAACAGAGTGTTTCCTAACTGCTCTGTGAAAAGAAAGGTTAAACTCTGTGAGTTGAACGCACACATCACAAAGGAGTTTCTGAGAATCATTCTGTCTAGTTTTTATACGAAGATATTTCCTTTTCTACCATTGACCTCAAAGCGGCTGAAATCTCCACTTGCAAATTCCAGAAAAACAGTGTTTCAAATCTGCTCTGTGTAAAGGATCGTTCAACTCTGTGAGTTGAATACACACAACACAAGGAAGTTACTGAGAATTCATCTGTCTAGCATAATATGAAGAAATCCCGTTTCCAACGAAGGCCTCAAAGAGGTCTGAATATCCACTTGCAGACTTTACAGAGTGTTTCCTAACTGCTCTTTGAAAAGAAAGGTTAAACTCTGTGAGTTGAACGCACACATCACAAAACAGTTTCTGAGAATCATTCTGTCTAGTTTTTATACGAAGATATTTCCTTTTCTACCGTTGACCTCAAAGCGGCTGAATTCTCCACTTACAAATTCCACCAAAAGAGTGTCTCAAATCTGCTCTGTGTAAAGAATCGTTCAACTCTGTGAGTTGAATGCACACAACACAAGGAAGTTACTGGGAATTCCTCTGTCTATCCTTACATGAAAAAACCCGTTTCCAACGAAGGCCTCTAAGAGGCCAAGATATCCACTTGCAGACTTTACAAACAGAGTGTTTCCAAACTGCTGAATGAAAAGAAAAGTTAAACTCTGTGAGTTGAACGCACACATCACAGAGCAGTTTCTGAGAATGATTCTGTCGGGTTTTTATACGAAGATATTTCCTTTTCTGCCTTTGGCCTCAAAGCGCTTGAAGTCTCCACTTGCAAATTGCAGAAAAAGAGTGTTTCGAATCTGCTCTGTCTAAAGGAAGGTTCAACTCTGTCAGTTGAATACACACAACACAAGGAAGTTACTGAGATTTCTTCTGTCTAGCCTTACATGAAAAAAACCCGTTTCCAACGAAGGCCTCAAAGAGGTCAAAATATCCACGTGCAGACTTTCCAAACAGAGTGTTTCCAAACTGCTGAATGAAAAGAAAAGTTAAACTCTGTGAGTTGAACGCACACATCCCAGAGCAGTTTCTGAGAAAGATTCTGTCGAGTTTTTATAGGAAAATATTTCCTTTTCTGCTTTTGGCCTCAAAGCGCTTGAAATCTCCACTTGCAAATTCCACAAAAAGAGACTTTCAAATCTGCTCTGTCTAAAGGAAGGTTCAACTCTGTCAGTTGAATACACACAACACAAAGAAGTTACTAAGAATTCTTCCCTCTAGCATTATATGAAGAAATCCCGTTTCCAACGAAGGCATCTAAGAGGTCCAAATATCCACTTGCAGACTTTACAAACACAGGGTTTCCAGAATGCTGTATGAAAAGAAAGGTGAAACTCTGTGAGTTAAACACACACATCACTACGCAGTGTCTGGGAACGAGTTTGTCTTGTTTTTATACGAAGATATTTCCTTTTCTACCATTGGCATCGAAGCGCTTGAAATCTCCACTTGCAAATTCCACAAAAAGAGTGTTTCAAATCTGCTCTGTCTAAAGGAAGGTTGAACTCTGTGAGTTGCATACACACAACACAAAGAAGTTACTGAGAAATCTTCTGTCTAGCATAATATGAAGAAATCCCGTTTCCAACGAAGGCCTCAAAGAGGTCCGAATATCCACTGGCAGGCTTCACAAACAGAGTGTTTCCTAACTGCTCTGTGAAAAGAAAGGTTAAACTCTGTGAGTTGAACGCACACATCACAAAGGAGTTTCTGAGAATCATTCTGTCTAGTTTTTATACGAAGATATTTCCTTTTCTACCATTGACCTCAAAGCGGCTGAAATCTCCACTTGCAAATTCCAGAAAAACAGTGTTTCAAATCTGCTCTGTGTAAAGGATCGTTCAACTCTGTGAGTTGAATACACACAACACAAGGAAGTTACTGAGAATTCATCTGTCTAGCATAATATGAAGAAATCCCGTTTCCAACGAAGGCCTCAAAGAGGTCTGAATATCCACTTGCAGACTTTACAAACAGAGTGTTTCCTAACTGCTCTTTGAAAAGAAAGGTTAAACTCTGTGAGTTGAACGCACACATCACAAAACAGTTTCTGAGAATCATTCTGTCTAGTTTTTATACGAAGATATTTCCTTTTCTACCGTTGACCTCAAAGCGGCTGAATTCTCCACTTACAAATTCCACCAAAAGAGTGTCTCAAATCTGCTCTGTGTAAAGAATCATTCAACTCTGTGAGTTGAATGCACACAACACAAGGAAGTTACTGGGAATTCCTCTGTCTATCCTTACATGAAAAAACCCGTTTCCAACGAAGGCCTCTAAGAGGCCAAGATATCCACTTGCAGACTTTACAAACAGAGTGTTTCCAAACTGCTGAATGAAAAGAAAAGTTAAACTCTGTGAGTTGAACGCACACATCACAGAGCAGTTTCTGAGAATGATTCTGTCGGGTTTTTATACGAAGATATTTCCTTTTCTGCCTTTGGCCTCAAAGCGCTTGAAGTCTCCACTTGCAAATTGCAGAAAAAGAGTGTTTCGAATCTGCTCTGTCTAAAGGAAGGTTCAACTCTGTCAGTTGAATACACACAACACAAGGAAGTTACTGAGATTTCTTCTGTCTAGCCTTACATGAAAAAAACCCGTTTCCAACGAAGGCCTCAAAGAGGTCAAAATATCCACGTGCAGACTTTCCAAACAGAGTGTTTCCAAACTGCTGAATGAAAAGAAAAGTTAAACTGTGTGAGTTGAACACACACATCCCAGAGCAGTTTCTGAGAAAGATTCTGTCTAGTTTTTATAGGAAAATATTTCCTTTTCTGCTTTTGGCCTCAAAGCGCTTGAAATCTCCACTTGCAAATTCCACAAAAAGAGACTTTCAAATCTGCTCTGTCTAAAGGAAGGTTCAACTCTGTCAGTTGAATACACACAACACAAAGAAGTTACTAAGAATTCTTCCCTCTAGCATTATATGAAGAAATCCCGTTTCCAACGAAGGCATCTAAGAGGTCCAAATATCCACTTGCAGACTTTACAAACAGAGGGTTTCCAGAATGCTGTATGAAAAGAAAGGTTAAACTCTGTGAGTTAAACACACACATCACTACGCAGTGTCTGGGAACGAGTTTGTCTTGTTTTTCTACGAAGATATTTCCTTTTCTACCATTGGCATCGAAGCGCTTGAAATCTCCACTTGCAAATTCAACAAAAAGAGTGTTTCAAATCTGCTATCTCTAAAGGAAGGTTGAACTCTGTGAGATGCATACACACAACACAAAGTAGTTACTGAGAAATCTGTCTAGCATAATATGAAGAACTCCCGTTTCCAACGAAGGCCTCAAAGAGGTCCGAATATCCACTGGCAGACTTAACAAACAGAGTGTTTCCCAACTGCTCTGTGAAAAGAAAGGTTAAACTCTGTGAGTTGAACGCACACATCACAAAGGAGTTTCTGAGAATCATTCTGTCTAGTTTTTATACGAAGATATTTCCTTTTCTACCATTGACCTCAAAGCGGCTGAAATCTCCACTTGCAGATTCCAGAAAAAGAGTGTTTCAAATCTGCTCTGTGTAAAGGATCGTTCAACTCTGTGAGTTGAATACACACAACACAAGGAAATTACTGAGAATTCATCTGTCTAGCATAATATGAAGAAATCCCGTTTCCAACGAAGGCCTCAAAGAGTTCTGAATATCCAGTTGCAGACTTTACAAACAGAGTGTTTCCTAACTGCTCTTTGAAAAGAAAGGTTAAACTCTGTGAGTTGAACGCACACATCACAAAACAGTTTCTGAGAATCATTCTGTCTAGTTTTTATACGAAGATATTTCCTTTTCTACCATTGACCTCAAAGCGGCTGAATTCTCCACTTACAAATTCCACCAAAAGAGTGTCTCAAATCTGCTCTGTGTAAAGAATCATTCAACTCTGTGAGTTGAATGCACACAACACAAGGGAAGTTACTGTGAATTCCTCTGTCTAACCTTACATGAAAAAAACCCGTTTCCCACGAAGGCCTCTAAGAGGCCAATATATCCCCTTGCAGACTTTACAAAGAGAGTGTTTCCAAACTGCTGAATGAAAAGAAAAGTTAAACTCTGTGAGTTGAACGCACACATCACAGAGCAGTTTCTGAGAAAGATTCTGTCGGGTTTTTATACGAAGATATTTCCTTTTCTGCCTTTGGCCTCAAAGCGCTTGAAGTCTCCACTTGCAAATTGCAGAAAAAGAGTGTTTCGAATCTGCTCTGTCTAAAGGAAGGTTCAACTCTGTCAGTTGAATACACACAACACAAGGAAGTTACTGAGATTTCTTCTGTCTAGCCTTACATGAAAAAAACCCGTTTCCAACGAAGGCCTCAAAGAGGTCAAAATATCCACGTGCAGACTTTCCAAACAGAGTGTTTCCAAACTGCTGAATGAAAAGAAAAGTTAAACTCTGTGAGTTGAACGCACACATCCCAGAGCAGTTTCTGAGAAAGATTCTGTCGAGGTTTTATAGGAAAATATTTCCTTTTCTGCTTTTGGCCTCAAAGCGCTTGAAATCTCCACTTGCAAATTCCACAAAAAGAGACTTTCAAATCTGCTCTGTCTAAAGGAAGGTTCAACTCTGTCAGTTGAATACACACAACACAAAGAAGTTACTAAGAATTCTTCCCTCTAGCATTATATGAAGAAATCCCGTTTCCAACGAAGGCATCTAAGAGGTCCAAATATCGACTTGCAGACTTTACAAACAGAGGGTTTCCAGAATGCTGTATGAAAAGAAAGGTGAAACTCTGTGAGTTAAACACACACATCACTACGCAGTGTCTGGGAACGAGTTTGTCTTGTTTTTATACGAAGATATTTCCTTTTCTACCATTGGCATCGAAGCGCTTGAAATCTCCACTTGCAAATTCCACAAAAAGAGTGTTTCAAATCTGCTCTGTCTAAAGGAAGGTTGAACTCTGTGATTTGCATACACACAACACAAAGAAGTTACTGAGAAATCTTCTGTCTAGCATAATATGAAGAAATCCCGTTTCCAACGAAGGCCTGAAAGAGGTCCGAATATCCACTGGCAGGCTTCACAAACAGAGTGTTTCCTAACTGCTCTGTGAAAAGAAAGGTTAAACTCTGTGAGTTGAACGCACACATCACAAAGGAGTTTCTGAGAATCATTCTGTCTAGTTTTTATACGAAGATATTTCCTTTTCTACCATTGACCTCAAAGCGGCTGAAATCTCCACTTGCAAATTCCAGAAAAACAGTGTTTCAAATCTGCTCTGTGTAAAGGATCGTTCAACTCTGTGAGTTGAATACACACAACACAAGGAAGTTACTGAGAATTCATCTGTCTAGCATAATATGAAGAAATCCCGTTTCCAACGAAGGCCTCAAAGAGGTCTGAATATCCACTTGCAGACTTTACAGAGTGTTTCCTAACTGCTCTTTGAAAAGAAAGGTTAAACTCTGTGAGTTGAACGCACACATCACAAAACAGTTTCTGAGAATCATTCTGTCTAGTTTTTATACGAAGATATTTCCTTTTCTACCGTTGACCTCAAAGCGGCTGAATTCTCCACTTACAAATTCCACCCAAAGAGTGTCTCAAATCTGCTCTGTGTAAAGAATCATTCAACTCTGTGAGTTGAATGCACACAACACAAGGAAGTTACTGGGAATTCCTCTGTCTAACCTTACATGAAAAAACCCGTTTCCAACGAAGGCCTCTAAGAGGCCAAGATATCCACTTGCAGACTTTACAAACAGAGTGTTTCCAAACTGCTGAATGAAAAGAAAAGTTAAACTCTGTGAGTTGAACGCACACATCACAGAGCAGTTTCTGAGAATGATTCTGTCGGGTTTTTATACGAAGATATATCCTTTTCTGCCTTTGGCCTCAAAGCGCTTGAAGTCTCCACTTGCAAATTGCAGAAAAAGAGTGTTTCGAATCTGCTCTGTCTAAAGGAAGGTTCAACTCTGTCAGTTGAATACACACAACACAAGGAAGTTACTGAGATTTCTTCTGTCTAGCCTTACATGAAAAACACCCGTTTCCAACGAAGGCCTCAAAGAGGTCAAAATATCCACGTGCAGACTTTCCAAACAGAGTGTTTCCAAACTGCTGAATGAAAAGAAAAGTTAAACTCTGTGAGTTGAACGCACACATCCCAGAGCAGTTTCTGAGAAAGATTCTGTCTAGTTTTTATAGGAAAATATTTCCTTTTCTGCTTTTGGCCTCAAAGCGCTTGAAATCTCCACTTGCAAATTCCACAAAAAGAGACTTTCAAATCTGCTCTGTCTAAAGGAAGGTTCAACTCTGTCAGTTGAATACACACAACACAAAGAAGTTACTAAGAATTCTTCCCTCTAGCATTATATGAGGAAATCCCGTTCCAACGAAGGCATCTAAGAGGTCCAAATATCCACTTGCAGACTTTACAAACAGAGGGTTTCCAGAATGCTGTATGAAAAGAAAGGTTAAACTCTGTGAGTTAAACACACACATCACTACGCAGTGTCTGGGAACGAGTTTGTCTTGTTTTTATACGAAGATATTTCCTTTTCTACCATTGGCATCGAAGCGCTTGAAATCTCCACTTGCAAATTCCACAAAAAGAGTGTTTCAAATCTGCTCTGTCTAAAGGAAGGTTGAACTCTGTGAGTTGCATACACACAACACAAAGAAGTTACTGAGAAATCTTCTGTCTAGCATAATATGAAGAAATCCCGTTTCCAACGAAGGCCTCAAAGAGGTCCGAATATCCACTGGCAGGCTTCACAAACAGAGTGTTTCCTAACTGCTCTGTGAAAAGAAAGGTTAAACTCTGTGAGTTGAACGCACACATCACAAAGGAGTTTCTGAGAATCATTCTGTCTAGTTTTTATACGAAGATATTTCCTTTTCTACCATTGACCTCAAAGCGGCTGAAATCTCCACTTGCAAATTCCAGAAAAACAGTGTTTCAAATCTGCTCTGTGTAAAGGATCGTTTAACTCTGTGAGTTGAATACACACAACACAAGGAAGTTACTGAGAATTCATCTGTCTAGCATAATATGAAGAAATCCCGTTTCCAACGAAGGCCTCAAAGAGGTCTGAATATCCACTTGCAGACTTTACAAACAGAGTGTTTCCTAACTGCTCTTTGAAAAGAAAGGTTAAACTCTGTGAGTTGAACGCACACATCACAAAACAGTTTCTGAGAATCATTCTGTCTAGTTTTTATACGAAGATATTTCCTTTTCTACCGTTGACCTCAAAGCGGCTGAATTCTCCACTTACAAATTCCACCAAAAGAGTGTCTCAAATCTGCTCTGTGTAAAGAATCATTCAACTCTGTGAGTTGAATGCACACAACACAAGGAAGTTACTGGGAATTCCTCTGTCTAACCTTACATGAAAAAACCCGTTTCCAACGAAGGCCTCTAAGAGGCCAAGATATCCACTTGCAGACTTTACAGACAGAGTGTTTCCAAACTGCTGAATGAAAAGAAAAGTTAAACTCTGTGAGTTGAACGCACACATCACAGAGCAGTTTCTGAGAATGATTCTGTTGGGTTTTTATACGAAGATATTTCCTTTTCTGCCTTTGGCCTCAAAGCGCTTGAAGTCTCCACTTGCAAATTGCAGAAAAAGAGTGTTTCGAATCTGCTCTGTCTAAAGGAAGGTTCAACTCTGTCAGTTGAATACACACAACACAAGGAAGTTACTGAGATTTCTTCTGTCTAGCCTTACATGAAAAAAACCCGTTTCCAACGAAGGCCTCAAAGAGGTCAAAATATCCACGTGCAGACTTTCCAAACAGTGTTTCCAAACTGCTGAATGAAAAGAAAAGTTAAACTCTGTGAGTTGAACGCACACATCACAGAGCAGTTTCTGAGAATGATTCTGTCGAGTTTTTATAGGAAAATATTTCCTTTTCTGCTTTTGGCCTCAAAGCGCTTGAAATCTCCACTTGCAAATTCCACAAAAAGAGACTTTCAAATCTGCTCTGTCTAAAGGAAGGTTCAACTCTGTCAGTTGAATACACACAACACAAAGAAGTTACTAAGAATTCTTCCCTCTAGCATTATATGAAGAAATCCCGTTTCCAACGAAGGCATCTAAGAGGTCCAAATATCCACTTGCAGACTTTACAAACAGAGGGTTTCCAGAATGCTGTATGAAAAGAAAGGTGAAACTCTGTGAGTTAAACACACACATCACTACGCAGTGTCTGGGAACGAGTTTGTCTTGTTTTTATACGAAGATATTTCCTTTTCTACCATTGGCATCGAAGCGCTTGAAATCTCCACTTGCAAATTCCACAAAAAGAGTGTTTCAAATCTGCTCTGTCTAAAGGAAGGTTGAACTCTGTGAGTTGCATACACACAACACAAAGAAGTTACTGAGAAATCTTCTGTCTAGCATAATATGAAGAAATCCCGTTTCCAACGAAGGCCTCAAAGAGGTCCGAATATCCACTGGCAGGCTTCACAAACAGAGTGTTTCCTAACTGCTCTGTGAAAAGAAAGGTTAAACTCTGTGAGTTGAACGCACACATCACAAAGGAGTTTCTGAGAATCATTCTGTCTAGTTTTTATACGAAGATATTTCCTTTTCTACCATTGACCTCAAAGCGGCTGAAATCTCCACTTGCAAATTCCAGAAAAACAGTGTTTCAAATCTGCTCTGTGTAAAGGATCGTTCAACTCTGTGAGTTGAATACACACAACACAAGGAAGTTACTGAGAATTCATCTGTCTAGCATAATATGAAGAAATCCCGTTTCCAACGAAGGCCTCAAAGAGGTCTGAATATCCACTTGCAGACTTTACAAACAGAGTGTTTCCTAACTGCTCTTTGAAAAGAAAGGTTAAACTCTGTGAGTTGAACGCACACATCACAAAACAGTTTCTGAGAATCATTCTGTCTAGTTTTTATACGAAGATATTTCCTTTTCTACCGTTGACCTCAAAGCGGCTGAATTCTCCACTAACAAATTCCACCAAAAGAGTGTCTCAAATCTGCTCTGTGTAAAGAATCATTCAACTCTGTGAGTTGAATGCACACAACACAAGGAAGTTACCGGGAATTCCTCTGTCTAACCTTACATGAAAAAACCCGTTTCCAACGAAGGCCTCTAGGAGGCCAAGATATCCACTTGCAGACTTTACAAACAGAGTGTTTCCAAACTGCTGAATGAAAAGAAAAGTTAAACTCTGTGAGTTGAACGCACACATCACAGAGCAGTTTCTGAGAATGATTCTGTCGGGTTTTTATACGAAGATATTTCCTTTTCTGCCTTTGGCCTCAAAGCGCTTGAAGTCTCCACTTGCAAATTGCAGAAAAAGAGTGTTTCGAATCTGCTCTGTCTAAAGGAAGGTTCAACTCTGTCAGTTGAATACACACAACACAAGGAAGTTATTGAGATTTCTTCTGTCTAGCCTTACATGAAAAAAACCCGTTTCCAACGAAGGCCTCAAAGAGGTCAAAATATCCACGTGCAGACTTTCCAAACAGAGTGTTTCCAAACTGCTGAATGAAAAGAAAAGTTAAACTCTGTGAGTTGAACGCACACATCACAGAGCAGTTTCTGAGAAAGATTCTGTCTAGTTTTTATAGGAAAATATTTCCTTTTCTGCTTTTGGCCTCAAAGCGCTTGAAATCTCCACTTGCAAATTCCACAAAAAGAGACTTTCAAATCTGCTCTGTCTAAAGGAAGGTTCAACTCTGTCAGTTGAATACACACAACACAAAGAAGTTACTAAGAATTCTTCCCTCTAGCATTATATGAAGAAATCCCGTTTCCAACGAAGGCATCTAAGAGGTCCAAATATCCACTTGCAGACTTTACAAACAGAGGGTTTCCAGAATGCTGTATGAAAAGAAAGGTGAAACTCTGTGAGTTAAACACACACATCACTACGCAGTGTCTGGGAACGAGTTTGTCTTGTTTTTATACGAAGATATTTCCTTTTCTACCATTGGCATCGAAGCGCTTGAAATCTCCACTTGCAAATTCCACAAAAAGAGTGTTTCAAATCTGCTCTGTCTAAAGGAAGGTTGAACTCTGTGAGTTGCATACACACAACACAAAGAAGTTACTGAGAAATCTTCTGTCTAGCATAATATGAAGAAATCCCGTTTCCAACGAAGGCCTCAAAGAGGTCCGAATATCCACTGGCAGGCTTCACAAACAGAGTGTTTCCTAACTGCTCTGTGAAAAGAAAGGTTAAACTCTGTGAGTTGAACGCACACATCACAAAGGAGTTTCTGAGAACCATTCTGTCTAGTTTTTATACGAAGATATTTCCTTTTCTACCATTGACCTCAAAGCGGCTGAAATCTCCACTTGCAAATTCCAGAAAAACAGTGTTTCAAATCTGCTCTGTGTAAAGGATCGTTCAACTCTGTGAGTTGAATACACACAACACAAGGAAGTTACTGAGAATTCATCTGTCTAGCATAATATGAAGAAACCCCGTTTCCAACGAAGGCCTCAAAGAGGTCTGAATATCCACTTGCAGACTTTACAAACAGAGTGTTTCCTAACTGCTCTTTGAAAAGAAAGGTTAAACTCTGTGAGTTGAACGCACACATCACAAAACAGTTTCTGAGAATCATTCTGTCTAGTTTTTATACGAAGATATTTCCTTTTCTACCGTTGACCTCAAAGCGGCTGAATTCTCCACTTACAAATTCCACCAAAAGAGTGTCTCAAATCTGCTCTGTGTAAAGAATCATTCAACTCTGTGAGTTGAATGCACACAACACAAGGAAGTTAGTGGGAATTCCTCTGTCTAACCTTACATGATAAAACCCGTTTCCAACGAAGGCCTCTAAGAGGCCAAGATATCCACTTGCAGACTTTACAAACAGAGTGTTTCCAAACTGCTGAATGAAAAGAAAAGTTAAACTCTGTGAGTTGAACGCACACATCACAGAGCAGTTTCTGAGAATGATTCTGTCGGGTTTTTATACGAAGATATTTCCTTTTCTGCCTTTGGCCTCAAAGCGCTTGAAGTCTCCACTTGCAAATTGCAGAAAAAGAGTGTTTCGAATCTGCTCTGTCTAAAGGAAGGTTCAACTCTGTCAGTTGAATACACACAACACAAGGAAGTTACTGAGATTTCTTCTGTCTAGCCTTACATGAAAAAAACCCGTTTCCAACGAAGGCCTCAAAGAGGTCAAAATATCCACGTGCAGACTTTCCAAACAGAGTGTTTCCAAACTGCTGAATGAAAAGAAAAGTTAAACTCTGTGAGTTGAACGCACACATCCCAGAGCAGTTTCTGAGAAAGATTCTGTCGAGTTTTTATAGGAAAATATTTCCTTTTCTGCTTTTGGCCTCAAAGCGCTTGAAATCTCCACTTGCAAATTCCACAAAAAGAGCCTTTCAAATCTGCTCTGTCTAAAGGAAGGTTCAACTCTGTCAGTTGAATACACACAACACAAAGAAGTTACTAAGAATTCTTCCCTCTAGCATTATATGAAGAAATCCCGTTTCCAACGAAGGCATCTAAGAGGTCCAAATATCCACTTGCAGACTTTACAAACAGAGGGTTTCCAGAATGCTGTATGAAAAGAAAGGTGAAACTCTGTGAGTTAAACACACACATCACTACGCAGTGTCTGGGAACGAGTTTGTCTTGTTTTTATACGAAGATATTTCCTTTTCTACCATTGGCATCGAAGCGCTTGAAATCTCCACTTGCAAATTCCACAAAAAGAGTGTTTCAAATCTGCTCTGTCTAAAGGAAGGTTGAACTCTGTGAGTTGCATACACACAACACAAAGAAGTTACTGAGAAATCTTCTGTCTAGCATAATATGAAGAAATCCCGTTTCCAACGAAGGCCTCAAAGAGGTCCGAATATCCACTGGCAGGCTTCACAAACAGAGTGTTTCCTAACTGCTCTGTGAAAAGAAAGGTTAAACTCTGTGAGTTGAACGCACACATCACAAAGGAGTTTCTGAGAATCATTCTGTCTAGTTTTTATACGAAGATATTTCCTTTTCTACCATTGACCTCAAAGCGGCTGAAATCTCCACTTGCAAATTCCAGAAAAACAGTGTTTCAAATCTGCTCTGTGTAAAGGATCGTTCAACTCTGTGAGTTGAATACACACAACACAAGGAAGTTACTGAGAATTCATCTGTCTAGCATAATATGAAGAAATCCCGTTTCCAACGAAGGCCTCAAAGAGGTCTGAATATCCACTTGCAGACTTTACAAACAGAGTGTTTCCTAACTGCTCTTTGAAAAGAAAGGTTAAACTCTGTGTGTTGAACGCACACATCACAAAACAGTTTCTGAGAATCATTCTGTCTAGTTTTTATACGAAGGTATTTCCTTTTCTACCGTTGACCTCAAAGCGGCTGAATTCTCCACTTACAAATTCCACCCAAAGAGTGTCTCAAATCTGCTCTGTGTAAAGAATCATTCAACTCTGTGAGTTGAATGCACACAACACAAGGAAGTTACTGGGAATTCCTCTGTCTAACCTTACATGAAAAAACCCGTTTCCAACGAAGGCCTCTAAGAGGCCAAGATATCCACTTGCAGACTTTACAAACAGAGTGTTTCCAAACTGCTGAATGAAAAGAAAAGTTAAACTCTGTGAGTTGAACGCACACATCCCAGAGCAGTTTCTGAGAATGATTCTGTCGGGTTTTTATACGAAGATATTTCCTTTTCTGCCTTTGGCCTCAAAGCGCTTGAAGTCTCCACTTGCAAATTGCAGAAAAAGAGTGTTTCGAATCTGCTCTGTCTAAAGGAAGGTTCAACTCTGTCAGTTGAATACACACAACACAAGGAAGTTACTGAGATTTCTTCTTTCTAGCGTTACATGAAAATAACCCGTTTCCAACGAAGGCCTCAAAGAGGTCAAAATATCCACGTGCAGACTTTCCAAACAGAGTGTTTCCAAACTGCTGAATGAAAAGAAAAGTTAAACTCTGTGAGTTGAACGCACACATCACAGAGCAGTTTCTGAGAAAGATTCTGTCTAGTTTTTATAGGAAAATATTTCCTTTTCTGCTTTTGGCCTCAAAGCGCTTGAAATCTCCACTTGCAAATTCCACAAAAAGAGACTTTCAAATCTGCTCTGTCTAAAGGAAGGTTCAACTCTGTCAGTTGAATACACACAACACAAAGAAGTTACTAAGAATTCTTCCCTCTAGCATTATATGAAGAAATCCCGTTCCCAACGAAGGCATCTAAGAGGTCCAAATATCCACTTGCAGACTTTACAAACAGAGGGTTTCCAGAATGCTGTATGAAAAGAAAGGTTAAACTCTGTGAGTTAAACACACACATCACTACGCAGTGTCTGGGAACGAGTTTGTCTTGTTTTTATACGAAGATATTTCCTTTTCTACCATTGGCATCGAAGCGCTTGAAATCTCCACTTGCAAATTCCACAAAAAGAGTGTTTCAAATCTGCTCTGTCTAAAGGAAGGTTGAACTCTGTGAGTTGCATACACACAACACAAAGAAGTTACTGAGAAATCTTCTGTCTAGCATAATATGAAGAAATCCCGTTTCCAACGAAGGCCTCAAAGAGGTCCGAATATCCACTGGCAGGCTTCACAAACAGAGTGTTTCCTAACTGCTCTGTGAAAAGAAAGGTTAAACCCTGTGAGTTGAACGCACACATCACAAAGGAGTTTCTGAGAATCATTCTGTCTAGTTTTTATACGAAGATATTTCCTTTTCTACCATTGACCTCAAAGCGGCTGAAATCTCCACTTGCAAATTCCAGAAAAACAGTGTTTCAAATCTGCTCTGTGTAAAGGATCGTTCAACTCTGTGAGTTGAATACACACAACACAAGGAAGTTACTGAGAATTCATCTGTCTAGCATAATATGAAGAAATCCCGTTTCCAACGAAGGCCTCAAAGAGGTCTGAATATCCTCTTGCAGACTTTACAAACAGAGTGTTTCCTAACTGCTCTTTGAAAAGAAAGGTTAAACTCTGTGAGTTGAACGCACACATCACAAAACAGTTTCTGAGAATCATTCTGTCTAGTTTTTATACGAAGATATTTCCTTTTCTACCGTTGACCTCAAAGCGGCTGAATTCTCCACTTACAAATTCCACCAAAAGAGTGTCTCAAATCTGCTCTGTGTAAAGAATCATTCAACTCTGTGAGTTGAATGCACACAACACAAGGAAGTTACTGGGAATTCCTCTGTCTATCCTTACATGAAAAAACCCGTTTCCAACGAAGGCCTCTAAGAGGCCAAGATATCCACTTGTAGACTTTACAAACAGAGTGTTTCCAAACTGCTGAATGAAAAGAAAAGTTAAACTCTGTGAGTTGAACGCACACATCACAGAGCAGTTTCTGAGAAAGATTCTGTCTAGTTTTTATAGGAAAATATTTCCTTTTCTGCTTTTGGCCTCAAAGCGCTTGAAATCTCCACTTGCAAATTCCACAAAAAGAGTGTTTCAAATCTGCTCTGTCTAAAGGAAGGTTGAACTCTGTGAGTTGCATACACACAACACAAAGAAGTTACTGAGAAATCTTCTGTCTAGCATAATATGAAGAAATCCCGTTTCCAACGAAGGCCTCAAAGAGGTCCGAATATCCACTGGCAGGCTTCACAAACAGAGTGTTTCCTAACTGCTCTGTGAAAAGAAAGGTTAAACTCTGTGAGTTGAACGCACACATCACAAAGGAGTTTCTGAGAATCATTCTGTCTAGTTTTTATACGAAGATATTTCCTTTTCTACCATTGACCTCAAATCGGCTGAAATCTCCACTTGCAAATTCCAGAAAAACAGTGTTTCAAATCTGCTCTCTGTAAAGGATCGTTCAACTCTGTGAGTTGAATACACACAACACAAGGAAGTTACTGAGAATTCATCTGTCTAGCATAATATGAAGAAATCCCGTTTCCAACGAAGGCCTCAAAGAGGTCTGAATATCCACTTGCAGACTTTACAAACAAAGTGTTTCCTAACTGCTCTCTGAAAAGAAAGGTTAAACTCTGTGAGTTGAACGCACACATCACAAAACAGTTTCTGAGAATCATTCTGTCTAGTTTTTATACGAAGATATTTCCTTTTCTACCATTGACCTCAAAGCGGCTGAATTCTCCACTTACAAATTCCACCAACAGTGTCTCAAATCTGCTCTGTGTAAAGAATCATTCAACTCTGTGAGTTGAATGCACACAACACAAGGAAGTTACTGGGAATTCCTCTGTCTAACCTTAAATGAAAAAACCCGTTTCCAACGAAGGCCTCTAAGAGGCCAAGATATCCACTTGCAGACTTTACAAACAGAGTGTTTCCAAACTGCTGAATGAAAAGAAAAGTTAAACTCTGTGAGTTGAACGCACACATCACAGAGCAGTTTCTGAGAATGATTCTGTCGGGTTTTTATACGAAGATATTTCCTTTTCTGCCTTTGGCCTCAAAGCGCTTGAAGTCTCCACTTGCAAATTGCAGAAAAAGAGTGTTTCGAATCTGCTCTGTCTAAAGGAAGGTTCAACTCTGTCAGTTGAATACACACAACACAAGGAAGTTACTGAGATTTCTTCTGTCTAGCCTTACATGAAAAAAACCCGTTTCCAACGAAGGCCTCAAAGAGGTCAAAATATCCACGTGCAGACTTTCCAAACAGAGTGTTTCCAAACTGCTGAATGAAAAGAAAAGTTAAACTCTGTGAGTTGAACGCACACATCCCAGAGCAGTTTCTGAGAAAGATTCTGTCGAGTTTTTATAGGAAAATATTTCCTTTTCTGCTTTTGGCCTCAAAGCGCTTGAAATCTCCACTTGCAAATTCCACAAAAAGAGACTTTCAAATCTGCTCTGTCTAAAGGAAGGTTCAACTCTGTCAGTTGAATACACACAACACAAAGAAGTTACTAAGAATTCTTCCCTCTAGCATTATATGAAGAAATCCCGTTTCCAACGAAGGCATCTAAGAGGTCCAAATATCCACTTGCAGACTTTACAAACACAGGGTTTCCAGAATGCTGTATGAAAAGAAAGGTTAAACTCTGTGAGTTAAACACACACATCACTACGCAGTGTCTGGGAACGAGTTTGTCTTGTTTTTATACGAAGATATTTCCTTTTCTACCATTGGCATTGAAGCGCTTGAAATCTCCACTTGCAAATTCCACAAAAAGAGTGTTTCAAATCTGCTCTGTCTAAAGGAAGGTTGAACTCTGTGAGTTGCATACACACAACACAAAGAAGTTACTGAGAAATCTTCTGTCTAGCATAATATGAAGAAATCCCGTTTCCAACGAAGGCCTCAAAGAGGTCCGAATATCCACTGGCAGGCTTCACAGAGTGTTTCCTAACTGCTCTGTGAAAAGAAAGGTTAAACTCTGTGAGTTGAACGCACACATCACAAAGGAGTTTCTGAGAATCATTCTGTCTAGTTTTTATACGAAGATATTTCCTTTTCTACCATTGACCTCAAAGCGGCTGACATCTCCACTTGCAAATTCCAGAAAAACAGTGTTTCAAATCTGCTCTGTGTAAAGGATCGTTCAACTCTGTGAGTTGAATACACACAACACAAGGAAGTTACTGAGAATTCATCTGTCTAGCATAATATGAAGAAATCCCGTTTCCAACGAAGGCCTCAAAGAGGTCTGAATATCCACTTGCAGACTTTACAAACAGAGTGTTTCCTAACTGCTCTTTGAAAAGAAAGGTTAAACTCTGTGAGTTGAACGCACACATCACAAAACAGTTTCTGAGAATCATTCTGTCTAGTTTTTATACGAAGATATTTCCTTTTCTACCGTTGACCTCAAAGCGGCTGAATTCTCCACTTACAAATTCCACCAAAAGAGTGTCTCAAATCTGCTCTGTGTAAAGAATCATTCAACTCTGTGAGTTGAATGCACACAACACAAGGAAGTTACTGGGAATTCCTCTGTCTATCCTTACATGAAAAAACCCGTTTCCAACGAAGGCCTCTAAGAGGCCAAGATATCCACTTGCAGACTTTACAAACAGAGTGTTTCCAAACTGCTGAATGAAAAGAAAAGTTAAACTCTGTGAGTTGAACGCACACATCACAGAGCAGTTTCTGAGAATGATTCTGTCGGGTTTTTATACGAAGATATTTCCTTTTCTGCCTTTGGCCTCAAAGCGCTTGAAGTCTCCACTTGCAAATTGCAGAAAAAGAGTGTTTCGAATCTGCTCTGTCTAAAGGAAGGTTCAACTCTGTCAGTTGAATACACACAACACAAGGAAGTTACTGAGATTTCTTCTGTCTAGCCTTACATGAAAAAAACCCGTTTCCAACGAAGGCCTCAAAGAGGTCAAAATATCCACGTGCAGACTTTCCAAACAGAGTGTTTCCAAACTGCAGAATGAAAAGAAAAGTTAAACTCTGTGAGTTGAACGCACACATCCCAGAGCAGTTTCTGAGAAAGATTCTGTCGAGTTTTTATAGGAAAATATTTCCTTTTCTGCTTTTGGCCTCAAAGCGCTTGAAATCTCCACTTGCAAATTCCACAAAAAGAGACTTTCAAATCTGCTCTGTCTAAAGGAAGGTTCAACTCTGTCAGTTGAATACACACAACACAAAGAAGTTACTAAGAATTCTTCCCTCTAGCATTATATGAAGAAATCCCGTTTCCAACGAAGGCATCTAAGAGGTCCAAATATCCACTTGCAGACTTTACAAACACAGGGTTTCCAGAATGCTGTATGAAAAGAAAGGTGAAACTCTGTGAGTTAAACACACACATCACTACGCAGTGTCTGGGAACGAGTTTGTCTTGTTTTTATACGAAGATATTTCCTTTTCTACCATTGGCATCGAAGCGCTTGAAATCTCCACTTGCAAATTCCACAAAAAGAGTGTTTCAAATCTGCTCTGTCTAAAGGAAGGTTGAACTCTGTGAGTTGCATACACACAACACAAAGAAGTTACTGAGAAATCTTCTGTCTAGCATAATATGAAGAAATCCCGTTTCCAACGAAGGCCTCAAAGAGGTCCGAATATCCACTGGCAGGCTTCACAAACAGAGTGTTTCCTAACTGCTCTGTGAAAAGAAAGGTTAAACTCTGTGAGTTGAACGCACACATCACAAAGGAGTTTCTGAGAATCATTCTGTCTAGTTTTTATACGAAGATATTTCCTTTTCTACCATTGACCTCAAAGCGGCTGAAATCTCCACTTGCAAATTCCAGAAAAACAGTGTTTCAAATCTGCTCTGTGTAAAGGATCGTTCAACTCTGTGAGTTGAATACACACAACACAAGGAAGTTACTGAGAATTCATCTGTCTAGCATAATATGAAGAAATCCCGTTTCCAACGAAGGCCTCAAAGAGGTCTGAATATCCACTTGCAGACTTTACAAACAGAGTGTTTCCTAACTGCTCTTTGAAAAGAAAGGTTAAACTCTGTGAGTTGAACGCACACATCACAAAACAGTTTCTGAGAATCATTCTGTCTAGTTTTTATACGAAGATATTTCCTTTTCTACCGTTGACATCAAAGCGGCTGAATTCTCCACTTACAAATTCCACCAAAAGAGTGTCTCAAATCTGCTCTGTGTAAAGAATCATTCAACTCTGTGAGTTGAATGCACACAACACAAGGAAGTTAGTGGGAATTCCTCTGTCTAACCTTACATGAAAAAACCCGTTTCCAATGAAGGCCTCTAAGAGGCCAAGATATCCACTTGCAGACTTTACAAACAGAGTGTTTCCAAACTGCTGAATGAAAAGAAAAGTTAAACTCTGTGAGTTGAACGCACACATCACAGAGCAGTTTCTGAGAATGATTCTGTCGGGTTTTTATACGAAGATATTTCCTTTTCTGCCTTTGGCCTCAAAGCGCTTGAAGTCTCCACTTGCAAATTGCAGAAAAAGAGTGTTTCGAATCTGCTCTGTCTAAAGGAAGGTTCAACTCTGTCAGTTGAATACACACAACACAAGGAAGTTACTGAGATTTCTTCTGTCTAGCCTTACATGAAAAAAACCCGTTTCCAACGAAGGCCTCAAAGAGGTCAAAATATCCACGTGCAGACTTTCCAAACAGAGTGTTTCCAAACTGCTGAATGAAAAGAAAAGTTAAACTCTGTGAGTTGAACGCACACATCCCAGAGCAGTTTCTGAGAAAGATCTGTCTAGGTTTTATAGGAAAATATTTCCTTTTCTGCTTTTGGCCTCAAAGCGCTTGAAATCTCCACTTGCAAATTCCACAAAAAGAGACTTTCAAATCTGCTCTGTCTAAAGGAAGGTTCAACTCTGTCAGTTGAATACACACAACACAAAGAAGTTACTAAGAATTCTTCCCTCTAGCATTATATGAAGAAATCCCGTTTCCAACGAAGGCATCTAAGAGGTCCAAATATCCACTTGCAGACTTTACAAACAGAGGGTTTCCAGAATGCTGTATGAAAAGAAAGGTGAAACTCTGTGAGTTAAACACACACATCACTACGCAGTGTCTGGGAACGAGTTTGTCTTGTTTTTATACGAAGATATTTCCTTTTCTACCATTGGCATCGAAGCGCTTGAAATCTCCACTTGCAAATTCCACAAAAAGAGTGTTTCAAATCTGCTCTGTCTAAAGGAAGGTTGAACTCTGTGAGTTGCATACACACAACACAAAGAAGTTACTGAGAAATCTTCTGTCTAGCATAATATGAAGAAATCCCGTTTCCAACGAAGGCCTCAAAGAGGTCTGAATATCCACTGGCAGGCTTCACAAACAGAGTGTTTCCTAACTGCTCTGTGAAAAGAAAGGTTAAACTCTGTGAGTTGAACGCACACATCACAAAGGAGTTTCTGAGAATCATTCTGTCTAGTTTTTATACGAAGATATTTCCTTTTCTACCATTGACCTCAAAGCGGCTGAAATCTCCACTTGCAAATTCCAGAAAAACAGTGTTTCAAATCTGCTCTGTGTAAAGGATCGTTCAACTCTGTGAGTTGAATACACACAACACAAGGAAGTTACTGAGAATTCATCTGTCTAGCATAATATGAAGAAATCCCGTTTCCAACGAAGGCCTCAAAGAGGTCTGAATATCCACTTGCAGACTTTACAAACAGAGTGTTTCCTAACTGCTCTTTGAAAAGAAAGGTTAAACTCTGTGAGTTGAAAGCACACATCACAAAACAGTTTCTGAGAATCATTCTGTCTAGTTTTTATACGAAGATATTTCCTTTTCTACCGTTGACATCAAAGCGGCTGAATTCTCCACTTACAAATTCCACCAAAAGAGTGTCTCAAATCTGCTCTGTGTAAAGAATCATTCAACTCTGTGAGTTGAATGCACACAACACAAGGAAGTTAGTGGGAATTCCTCTGTCTAACCTTACATGAAAAAACCCGTTTCCAACGAAGGCCTCTAAGAGGCCAAGATATCCACTTGCAGACTTTACAAACAGAGTGTTTCCAAACTGCTGAATGAAAAGAAAAGTTAAACTCTGTGAGTTGAACGCACACATCACAGAGCAGTTTCTGAGAATGATTCTGTCGGGTTTTTATACGAAGATATTTCCTTTTCTGCCTTTGGCCTCAAAGCGCTTGAAGTCTCCACTTGCAAATTGCAGAAAAAGAGTGTTTCGAATCTGCTCTGTCTAAAGGAAGGTTCAACTCTGTCAGTTGAATACACACAACACAAGGAAGTTACTGAGATTTCTTCTGTCTAGCCTTACATGAAAAAAACCCGTTTCCAACGAAGGCCTCAAAGAGGTCAAAATATCCACGTGCAGACTTTCCAAACAGAGTGTTTCCAAACTGCTGAATGAAAAGAAAAGTTAAACTCTGTGAGTTGAACGCACACATCCCAGAGCAGTTTCTGAGAAAGATTCTGTCGAGTTTTTATAGGAAAATATTTCCTTTTCTGCTTTTGGCCTCAAAGCGCTTGAAATCTCCACTTGCAAATTCCACAAAAAGAGACTTTCAAATCTGCTCTGTCTAAAGGAAGGTTCAACTCTGTCAGTTGAATACACACAACACAAAGAAGTTACTAAGAATTCTTCCCTCTAGCATTATATGAAGAAATCCCGTTTCCAACGAAGGCATCTAAGAGGTCCAAATATCCACTTGCAGACTTTACAAACACAGGGTTTCCAGAATGCTGTATGAAAAGAAAGGTTAAACTCTGTGAGTTAAACACACACATCACTACGCAGTGTCTGGGAACGAGTTTGTCTTGTTTTTATACGAAGATATTTCCTTTTCTACCATTGGCATCGAAGCGCTTGAAATCTCCACTTGCAAATTCCACAAAAAGAGTGTTTCAAATCTGCTCTGTCTAAAGGAAGGTTGAACTCTGTGAGTTGCATACACACAACACAAAGAAGTTACTGAGAAATCTTCTGTCTAGCATAATATGAAGAAATCCCGTTTCCAACGAAGGCCTCAAAGAGGTCCGAATATCCACTGGCAGGCTTCACAAACAGAGTGTTTCCTAACTGCTCTGTGAAAAGAAAGGTTAAACTCTGTGAGTTGAACGCACACATCACAAAGGAGTTTCTGAGAATCATTCTGTCTAGTTTTTATACGAAGATATTTCCTTTTCTACCATTGACCTCAAAGCGGCTGAAATCTCCACTTGCAAATTCCAGAAAAACAGTGTTTCAAATCTGCTCTGTGTAAAGGATCGTTCAACTCTGTGAGTTGAATACACACAACACAAGGAAGTTACTGAGAATTCATCTGTCTAGCATAATATGAAGAAATCCCGTTTCCAACGAAGGCCTCAAAGAGGTCTGAATATCCACTTGCAGACTTTACAAACAGAGTGTTTCCTAACTGCTCTTTGAAAAGAAAGGTTAAACTCTGTGAGTTGAACGCACACATCACAAAACAGTTTCTGAGAATCATTCTGTCTAGTTTTTATACGAAGATATTTCCTTTTCTACCGTTGACCTCAAAGCGGCTGAATTCTCCACTTACAAATTCCACCAAAAGAGTGTCTCAAATCTGCTCTGTGTAAAGAATCATTCAACTCTGTGAGTTGAATGCACACAACACAAGGAAGTTACTGGGAATTCCTCTGTCTAACCTTACATGAAAAAACCCGTTTCCAACGAAGGCCTCTAAGAGGCCAAGATATCCACTTGCAGACTTTACAAACAGAGTGTTTCCAAACTGCTGAATGAAAAGAAAAGTTAAACTCTGTGAGTTGAACGCACACATCACAGAGCAGTTTCTGAGAATGATTCTGTCGGGTTTTTATACGAAGATATTTCCTTTTCTGCCTTTGGCCTCAAAGCGCTTGAAGTCTCCACTTGCAAATTGCAGAAAAAGAGTGTTTCGAATCTGCTCTGTCTAAAGGAAGGTTCAACTCTGTCAGTTGAATACACACAACACAAGGAAGTTACTGAGATTTCTTCTGTCTAGCCTTACATGAAAAAAACCCGTTTCCAACGAAGGCCTCAAAGAGGTCAAAATATCCACGTGCAGACTTTCCAAACAGAGTGTTTCCAAACTGCTGAATGAAAAGAAAAGTTAAACTCTGTGAGTTGAACGCACACATCCCAGAGCAGTTTCTGAGAAAGATTCTGTCGAGTTTTTATAGGAAAATATTTCCTTTTCTGCTTTTGGCCTCAAAGCGCTTGAAATCTCCACTTGCAAATTCCACAAAAAGAGACTTTCAAATCTGCTCTGTCTAAAGGAAGGTTCAACTCTGTCAGTTGAATACACACAACACAAAGAAGTTACTAAGAATTCTTCCCTCTAGCATTATATGAAGAAATCCCGTTTCCAACGAAGGCATCCAAGAGGTCCAAATATCCACTTGCAGACTTTACAAACACAGGGTTTCCAGAATGCTGTATGAAAAGAAAGGTTAAACTCTGTGAGTTAAACACACACATCACTACGCAGTGTCTGGGAACGAGTTTGTCTTGTTTTTCTACGAAGATATTTCCTTTTCTACCATTGGCATCGAAGCGCTTGAAATCTCCACTTGCAAATTCCACAAAAAGAGTGTTTCAAATCTGCTCTGTCTAAAGGAAGGTTGAACTCTGTGAGTTGCATACACACAACACAAAGAAGTTACTGAGAAATCTTCTGTCTAGCATAATATGAAGAAATCCCGTTTCCAACGAAGGCCTCAAAGAGGTCCGAATATCCACTGGCAGGCTTCACAAACAGAGTGTTTCCTAACTGCTCTGTGAAAAGAAAGGTTAAACTCTGTGAGTTGAACGCACACATCACAAAGGAGTTTCTGAGAATCATTCTGTCTAGTTTTTATACGAAGATATTTCCTTTTCTACCGTTGACCTCAAAGCGGCTGAAATCTCCACTTGCAAATTCCAGAAAAACAGTGTTTCAAATCTGCTCTGTGTAAAGGATCGTTTAACTCTGTGAGTTGAATACACACAACACAAGGAAGTTACTGAGAATTCATCTGTCTAGCATAATATGAAGAAATCCCGTTTCCAACGAAGGCCTCAAAGAGGTCTGAATATCCACTTGCAGACTTTACAAACAGAGTGTTTCCTAACTGCTCTTTGAAAAGAAAGGTTAAACTCTGTGAGTTGAACGCACACATCACAAAACAGTTTCTGAGAATCATTCTGTCTAGTTTTTATACGAAGATATTTGCTTTTCTACCGTTGACCTCAAAGCGGCTGAATTCTCCACTTACAAATTCCACCAAAAGAGTGTCTCAAATCTGCTCTGTGTAAAGAATCATTCAACTCTGTGAGTTGAATGCACACAACACAAGGAAGTTACTGGGAATTCCTCTGTCTAACCTTACATGAAAAAACCCATTTCCAACGAAGGCCTCTAAGAGGCCAAGATATCCACTTGCAGACTTTACAAACAGAGTGTTTCCAAACTGCTGAATGAAAAGAAAAGTTAAACTCTGTGAGTTGAACGCACACATCACAGAGCAGTTTCTGAGAATGATTCTGTCGGGTTTTTATACGAAGATATTTCCTTTTCTGCCTTTGGCCTCAAAGCGCTTGAAGTCTACACTTGCAAATTGCAGAAAAAGAGTGTTTCGAATCTGCTCTGTCTAAAGGAAGGTTCAACTCTGTCAGTTGAATACACACAACACAAGGAAGTTACTGAGATTTCTTCTGTCTAGCCTTACATGAAAAAAACTCGTTTCCAACGAAGGCCTCAAAGAGGTCAAAATATCCACGTGCAGACTTTCCAAACAGAGTGTTTCCAAACTGCTGAATGAAAAGAAAGTTAAACTCTCTGAGTTGAACACACACATCACAGAGCAGTTTCTGAGAATGATTCTGTCTAGTTTTTATAGGAAAATATTTCCTTTTCTGCTTTTGGCCTCAAAGCGCTTGAAATCTCCACTTGCAAATTCCACAAAAAGAGACTTTCAAATCTGCTCTGTCTAAAGGAAGGTTCAACTCTGTCAGTTGAATACACACAACACAAAGAAGTTACTAAGAATTCTTCCCTCTAGCATTATATGAAGAAATCCCGTTTCCAACGAAGGCATCTAAGAGGTCCAAATATCCACTTGCAGACTTTACAAACAGAGGGTTTCCAGAATGCTGTATGAAAAGAAAGGTGAAACTCTGTGAGTTAAACACACACATCACTACGCAGTGTCTGGGAACGAGTTTGTCTTGTTTTTATACGAAGATATTTCCTTTTCTACCATTGGCATCGAAGCGCTTGAAATCTCCACTTGCAAATTCCACAAAAAGAGTGTTTCAAATCTGCTCTGTCTAAAGGAAGGTTGAACTCTGTGAGTTGCATACACACAACACAAAGAAGTTACTGAGAAATCTTCTGAATAGCATAATATGAAGAAATCCCGTTTCCAACGAAGGCCTCAAAGAGGTCCGATTATCCACTGGCAGGCTTCACAAACAGAGTGTTTCCTAACTGCTCTGTGAAAAGAAAGGTTAAACTCTGTGAGTTGAACGCACACATCACAAAGGAGTTTCTGAGAATCATTCTGTCTAGTTTTTATACGAAGATATTTCCTTTTCTACCATTGACCTCAAAGCGGCTGAAATCTCCACTTGCAAATTCCAGAAAAACAGTGTTTCAAATCTGCTCTGTGTAAAGGATCGTTCAACTCTGTGAGTTGAATACACACAACACAAGGAAGTTACTGAGAATTCATCTGTCTAGCATAATATGAAGAAATCCCGTTTCCAACGAAGGCCTCAAAGAGGTCTGAATATCCTCTTGCAGACTTTACAAACAGAGTGTTTCCTAACTGCTCTTTGAAAAGAAAGGTTAAACTCTGTGAGTTGAACGCACACATCACAAAACAGTTTCTGAGAATCATTCTGTCTAGTTTTTATACGAAGATATTTCCTTTTCTACCGTTGACCTCAAAGCGGCTGAATTCTCCACTTACAAATTCCACCAAAAGAGTGTCTCAAAACTGCTCTGTGTAAAGAATCATTCAACTCTGTGAGTTGAATGCACACAACACAAGGAAGTTACTGGGAATTCCTCTGTCTATCCTTACATGAAAAAACCCGTTTCCAACGAAGGCCTCTAAGAGGCCAAGATATCCACTTGCAGACTTTACAAACAGAGTGTTTCCAAACTGCTGAATGAAAAGAAAAGTTAAACTCTGTGAGTTGAACGCACACATCACAGAGCAGTTTCTGAGAGTGATTCTGTCGAGTTTTTATAGGAAAATATTTCCTTTTCTACTTTTGGCCTCAAAGCGCTTGAAATCTCCACTTGCAAATTCCACAAAAAGAGACTTTCAAATCTGCTCTGTCTAAAGGAAGGTTCAACTCTGTCAGTTGAATACACACAACACAAAGAAGTTACTAAGAATTCTTCTGTCTAGCATAATATGAAGAAATCCCGTTTCCAACGAAGGCCTCAAAGAGGTCCGAATATCCACTGGCAGGCTTCACAAACAGAGTGTTTCCTAACTGCTCTGTGAAAAGAAAGGTTAAACTCTGTGAGTTGAACGCACACATCACAAAGGAGTTTCTGAGAATCATTCTGTCTAGTTTTTATACGAAGATATTTCCTTTTCTACCATTGACTTCAAAGCGGCTGAAATCTCCACTTGCAAATTCCAGAAAAACAGTGTTTCAAATCTGCTCTGTGTAAAGGATCGTTCAACTCTGTGAGTTGAATACACACAACACAAGGAAGTTACTGAGAATTCATCTGTCTAGCATAATATGAAGAAATCCCGTTTCCAACGAAGGCCTCAAAGAGGTCTGAATATCCACTTGCAGACTTTACAAACAGAGTGTTTCCTAACTGCTCTTTGAAAAGAAAGGTTAAACTCTGTGAGTTGAAAGCACACATCACAAAACAGTTTCTGAGAATCATTCTGTCTAGTTTTTATACGAAGATATTTCCTTTTCTACCGTTGACCTCAAAGCGGCTGAATTCTCCACTTACAAATTCCACCAAAAGAGTGTCTCAAATCTGCTCTGTGTAAAGAATCATTCAACTCTGTGAGTTGAATGCACACAACACAAGGAAGTTACTGGGAATTCCTCTGTCTAACCTTACATGATAAAACCCGTTTCCAACGAAGGCCTCTAAGAGGCCAAGATATCCACTTGCAGACTTTACAAACAGAGTGTTTCCAAACTGCTGAATGAAAAGAAAAGTTAAACTCTGTGAGTTGAACGCACACATCACAGAGCAGTTTCTGAGAATGATTCTGTCGGGTTTTTATACGAAGATATTTCCTTTTCTGCCTTTGGCCTCAAAGCGCTTGAAGTCTCCACTTGCAAATTGCAGAAAAAGAGTGTTTCGAATCTGCTCTGTCTAAAGGAAGGTTCAACTCTGTCAGTTGAATACACACAACACAAGGAAGTTACTGAGATTTCTTCTGTCTAGCCTTACATGAAAAAAACCCGTTTCCAACGAAGGCCTCAAAGAGGTCAAAATATCCACGTGCAGACTTTCCAAACAGTGTTTCCAAACTGCTGAATGAAAAGAAAGTTAAACTCTGTGAGTTGAACGCACACATCACAGAGCAGTTTCTGAGAATGATTCTCTCTAGTTTTTATAGGAAAATATTTCCTTTTCTGCTTTTGGCCTCAAAGCGCTTGAAATCTCCACTTGCAAATTCCACAAAAAGAGACTTTCAAATCTGCTCTGTCTAAAGGAAGGTTCAACTCTGTCAGTTGAATACACACAACACAAAGAAGTTACTAAGAATTCTTCCCTCTAGCATTATATGAAGAAATCCCGTTTCCAACGAAGGCATCTAAGAGGTCCAAATATCCACTTGCAGACTTTACAAACAGAGGGTTTCCAGAATGCTGTATGAAAAGAAAGGTTAAACTCTGTGAGTTAAACACACACATCACTACGCAGTGTCTGGGAACGAGTTTGTCTTGTTTTTATACGAAGATATTTCCTTTTCTACCATTGGCATCGAAGCGCTTGAAATCTCCACTTGCAAATTCCACAAAAAGAGTGTTTCAAATCTGCTCTGTCTAAAGGAAGGTTGAACTCTGTGAGTTGCATACACACAACACAAAGAAGTTACTGAGAAATCTTCTGTCTAGCATAATATGAAGAAATCCCGTTTCCAACGAAGGCCTCAAAGAGGTCCGAATATCCACTGGCAGGCTTCACAAACAGAGTGTTTCCTAACTGCTCTGTGAAAAGAAAGGTTAAACTCTGTGAGTTGAACGCACACATCACAAAGGAGTTTCTGAGAATCATTCTGTCTAGTTTTTATACGAAGATATTTCCTTTTCTACCATTGACCTCAAAGCGGCTGAAATCTCCACTTGCAAATTCCAGAAAAACAGTGTTTCAAATCTGCTCTGTGTAAAGGATCGTTCAACTCTGTGAGTTGAATACACACAACACAAGGAAGTTACTGAGAATTCATCTGTCTAGCATAATATGAAGAAATCCCGTTTCCAACGAAGGCCTCAAAGAGGTCTGAATATCCACTTGCAGACTTTACAAACAGAGTGTTTCCTAACTGCTCTTTGAAAAGAAAGGTTAAACTCTGTGAGTTGAACGCACACATCACAAAACAGTTTCTGAGAATCATTCTGTCTAGTTTTTATACGAAGATATTTCCTTTTCTACCGTTGACCTCAAAGCGGCTGAATTCTCCACTTACAAATTCCACCAAAAGAGTGTCTCAAATCTGCTCTGTGTAAAGAATCATTCAACTCTGTGAGTTGAATGCACACAACACAAGGAAGTTACTGGGAATTCCTCTGTCTATCCTTACATGAAAAAACCCGTTTCCAACGAAGGCCTCTAAGAGGCCAAGATATCCACTTGCAGACTTTACAAACAGAGTGTTTCCAAACTGCTGAATGAAAAGAAAAGTTAAGCTCTGTGAGTTGAACGCACACATCACAGAGCAGTTTCTGAGAATGATTCTGTCGGGTTTTTATACGAAGATATTTCCTTTTCTGCCTTTGGCCTCAAATCGCTTGAAGTCTCCACTTGCAAATTGCAGAAAAAGAGTGTTTCGAATCTGCTCTGTCTAAAGGAAGGTTCAACTCTGTCAGTTGAATACACACAACACAAGGAAGTTACTGAGATTTCTTCTGTCTAGCCTTACATGAAAAAAACCCGTTTCCAACGAAGGCCTCAAAGAGGTCAAAATATCCACGTGCAGACTTTCCAAACAGAGTGTTTCCAAACTGCTGAATGAAAAGAAAAGTTAAACTCTGTGAGTTGAACGCACACATCCCACAGCAGTTTCTGAGAAAGATTCTGTCGAGTTTTTATAGGAAAATATTTCCTTTTCTGCTTTCGGCCTCAAAGCGCTTGAAATCTCCACTTGCAAATTCCACAAAAAGAGACTTTCAAATCTGCTCTGTCTAAAGGAAGGTTCAACTCTGTCAGTTGAATACACACAACACAAAGAAGTTACTAAGAATTCTTCCCTCTAGCATTATATGAAGAAATCCCGTTTCCAACGAAGGCATCTAAGAGGTCCAAATATCCACTTGCAGACTTTACAAACAGAGGGTTTCCAGAATGCTGTATGAAAAGAAAGGTGAAACTCTGTGAGTTAAACACACACATCACTACGCAGTGTCTGGGAACGAGTTTGTCTTGTTTTTATACGAAGATATTTCCTTTTCTACCATTGGCATCGAAGCGCTTGAAATCTCCACTTGCAAATTCCACAAAAAGAGTGTTTCAAATCTGCTCTGTCTAAAGGAAGGTTGAACTCTGTGAGTTGCATACACACAACACAAAGAAGTTACTGAGAAATCTTTTGTCTAGCATAATATGAAGAAATCCCGTTTCCAACGAAGGCCTCAAAGAGGTCCGAATATCCACTGGCAGGCTTCACAAACAGAGTGTTTCCTAACTGCTCTGTGAAAAGAAAGGTTAAACTCTGTGAGTTGAACGCACACATCACAAAGGAGTTTCTGAGAATCATTCTGTCTAGTTTTTATACGAAGATATTTCCTTTTCTACCATTGACCTCAAAGCGGCTGAAATCTCCACTTGCAAATTCCAGAAAAGCAGTGTTTCAAATCTGCTCTGTGTAAAGGATCGTTCAACTCTGTGAGTTGAATACACACAACACAAGGAAGTTACTGAGAATTCATCTGTCTAGCATAATATGAAGAAATCCCGTTTCCAACGAAGGCCTCAAAGAGGTCTGAATATCCACTTGCAGACTTTACAAACAGAGTGTTTCCTAACTGCTCTTTGAAAAGAAAGGTTAAACTCTGTGAGTTGAACGCACACATCACAAAACAGTTTCTGAGAATCATTCTGTCTAGTTTTTATACGAAGATATTTCCTTTTCTACCATTGACCTCAAAGCAGCTGAATTCTCCACTTACAAATTCCACCAAAAGAGTGTCTCAAATCTGCTCTGTGTAAAGAATCATTCAACTCTGTGAGTTGAATGCACACAACACAAGGAAGTTACTGGGAATTCCTCTGTCTAACCTTACATGAAAAAACCCGTTTCCAATGAAGGCCTCTAAGAGGCCAAGATATCCACTTGCAGACTTTACAAACAGAGTGTTTCCAAACTGCTGAATGAAAAGAAAAGTTAAACTCTGTGAGTTGAACGCACACATCACAGAGCAGTTTCTGAGAATGATTCTGTCGGGTTTTTATACGAAGATATTTCCTTTTCTGCCTTTGGCCTCAAAGCGCTTGAAGTCTCCACTTGCAAATTGCAGAAAAAGAGTGTTTCGAATCTGCTCTGTCTAAAGGAAGGTTCAACTCTGTCAGTTGAATACACACAACACAAAGAAGTTACTAAGAATTCTTCCCTCTAGCATTATATGAAGAAATCCCGTTTCCAACGAAGGCATCTAAGAGGTCCAAATATCCACTTGCAGACTTTACAAACAGAGGGTTTCCAGAATGCTGTATGAAAAGAAAGGTTAAACTCTGTGTGTTAAACACACACATCACTACGCAGTGTCTGGGAACGAGTCTGTCTAGTTTTTATACGAAGATATTTCCTTTTCTACCATTGACCTCAAAGCAGCTGAAATCTCCACTTGCAAATTCCAGAAAAACAGTGTTTCAAATCTGCTCTGTGTAAAGGATCGTTCAACTCTGTGAGTTGAATACACACAACACAAGGAAGTTACTGAGAATTCATCTGTCTAGCATAATATGAAGAAATCCCGTTTCCAACGAAGGCCTCAAAGAGGTCTGAATATCCACTTGCAGACTTTACAAACAGAGTGTTTCCTAACTGCTCTTTGAAAAGAAAGGTTAAACTCTGTGAGTTGAACGCACACATCACAAAACAGTTTCTGAGAATCATTCTGTCTAGTTTTTATACGAAGATATTTCCTTTTCTACCGTTGACCTCAAAGCGGCTGAATTCTCCACTTACAAATTCCACCAAAAGAGTGTCTCAAATCTGCTCTGTGTAAAGAATCATTCAACTCTGTGAGTTGAATGCACACAACACAAGGAAGTTACTGGGAATTCCTCTGTCTAACCTTACATGAAAAAACCCGTTTCCAACGAAGGCCTCTAAGAGGCCAAGATATCCACTTGCAGACTTTACAAACAGAGTGTTTCCAAACTGCTGAATGAAAAGAAAAGTTAAACTCTGTGAGTTGAACGCACACATCACAGAGCAGTTTCTGAGAATGATTCTGTCGGGTTTTTATACGAAGATATTTCCTTTTCTGCCTTTGGCCTCAAAGCGCTTGAAGTCTCCACTTGCAAATTGCAGAAAAAGAGTGTTTCGAATCTGCTCTGTCTAAAGGAAGGTTCAACTCTGTCAGTTGAATACACACAACACAAGGAAGTTACTGAGATTTCTTCTGTCTAGCCTTACATGAAAAAAACCCGTTTCCAACGAAGGCCTCAAAGAGGTCAAAATATCCACGTGCAGACTTTCCAAACAGAGTGTTTCCAAACTGCTGAATGAAAAGAAAAGTTAAACTCTGTGAGTTGAACGCACACATCCCAG
Source organism: Homo sapiens (assembly GCF_000001405.40). Taxonomy (NCBI): domain Eukaryota; kingdom Metazoa; phylum Chordata; class Mammalia; order Primates; family Hominidae; genus Homo; species Homo sapiens. The sequence goes on along the minus strand of NC_000016.10, from coordinate 37,349,022 downwards.
AGCAGTTTCTGAGAAAGATTCTGTCGAGTTTTTATAGGAAAATATTTCCTTTTCTGCTTTCGGCCTCAAAGCGCTTGAAATCTCCACTTGCAAATTCCACAAAAAGAGACTTTCAAATCTGCTCTGTCTAAAGGAAGGTTCAACTCTGTCAGTTGAATACACACAACACAAAGAAGTTACTAAGAATTCTTCCCTCTAGCATTATATGAAGAAATCCCGTTTCCAACGAAGGCATCTAAGAGGTCCAAATATCCACTTGCAGACTTTACAAACACACGGTTTCCAGAATGCTGTATGAAAAGAAAGGTGAAACTCTGTGAGTTAAACACACACATCACTACGCAGTGTCTGGGAACGAGTTTGTCTTGTTTTTATACGAAGATATTTCCTTTTCTACCATTGGCATCGAAGCGCTTGAAATCTCCACTTGCAAATTCCACAAAAAGAGTGTTTCAAATCTGCTCTGTCTAAGGGAAGGTTGAACTCTGTGAGTTGCATACACACAACACAAAGAAGTTACTGAGAAATCTTCTGTCTAGCATAATATGAAGAAATCCCGTTTCCAACGAAGGCCTCAAAGAGGTCCGAATATCCACTGGCAGGCTTCACAAACAGAGTGTTTCCTAACTGCTCTGTGAAAAGAAAGGTTAAACTCTGTGAGTTGAACGCACACATCACAAAGGAGTTTCTGAGAATCATTCTGTCTAGTTTTTATACGAAGATATTTCTTTTTCTACCATTGACCTCAAAGCGGCTGAAATCTCCACTTGCAAATTCCAGAAAAACAGTGTTTCAAATCTGCTCTGTGTAAAGGATCGTTCAACTCTGTGAGTTGAATACACACAACACAAGGAAGTTACTGAGAATTCATCTGTCTAGCATAATATGAAGAAATCCCGTTTCCAACGAAGGCCTCAAAGAGGTCTGAATATCCACTTGCAGACTTTACAAACAGAGTGTTTCCTAACTGCTCTTTGAAAAGAAAGGTTAAACTCTGTGAGTTGAACGCACACATCACAAAACAGTTTCTGAGAATCATTCTGTCTAGTTTTTATACGAAGATATTTCCTTTTCTACCGTTGACCTCAAAGCGGCTGAATTCTCCACTTACAAATTCCACCAAAAGAGTGTCTCAAATCTGCTCTGTGTAAAGAATCATTCAACTCTGTGAGTTGAATGCACACAACACAAGGAAGTTACTGGGAATTCCTCTGTCTAAACTTACATGAAAAAACCCGTTTCCAACGAAGGCCTCTAAGAGGCCAAGATATCCACTTGCAGACCTTACAAACAGAGTGTTTCCAAACTGCTGAATGAAAAGAAAAGTTAAACTCTGTGAGTTGAACGCACACATCACAGAGCAGTTTCTGAGAATGATTTCTGTCGGGTTTTCATACGAAGATATTTCCTTTTCTGCCTTTGGCCTCAAAGCGCTTGAAGTCTCCACTTGCAAATTGCAGAAAAAGAGTGTTTCGAATCTGCTCTGTCTAAAGGAAGGTTCAACTCTGTCAGTTGAATACACACAACACAAGGAAGTTACTGAGATTTCTTCTGTCTAGCCTTACATGAAAAAAACCCGTTTCCAACGAAGGCCTCAAAGAGGTCAAAATATCCACGTGCAGACTTTCCAAACAGTGTTTCCAAACTGCTGAATGAAAAGAAAAGTTAAACTCTGTGAGTTGAACGCACACATCACAGAGCAGTTTCTGAGAATGATTCTGTCGAGTTTTTATAGGAAAATATTTCCTTTTCTGCTTTTGGCCTCAAAGCGCTTGAAATCTCCACTTGCAAATTCCACAAAAAGAGACTTTCAAATCTGCTCTGTCTAAAGGAAGGTTCAACTCTGTCAGTTGAATACACACAACACAAAGAAGTTACTAAGAATTCTTCCCTCTAGCATTATATGAAGAAATCCCGTTTCCAACGAAGGCATCTAAAAGGTCCAAATATCCACTTGCAGACTTTACAAACACAGGGTTTCCAGAATGCTGTATGAAAAGAAAGGTTAAACTCTGTGAGTTAAACACACACATCACTACGCAGTGTCTGGGAACGAGTTTGTCTTGTTTTTATACGAAGATATTTCCTTTTCTACCATTGGCATCGAAGCGCTTGAAATCTCCACTTGCAAATTCCACAAAAAGAGTGTTTCAAATCTGCTCTGTCTAAAGGAAGGTTGAACTCTGTGAGTTGCATACACACAACACAAAGAATTTACTGAGAAATCTTCTGTCTAGCATAATATGAAGAAATCCCGTTTCCAACGAAGGCCTCAAAGAGGTCCGAATATCCACTGGCAGGCTTCACAAACAGAGTGTTTCCTAACTGCTCTGTGAAAAGAAAGGTTAAACTCTGTGAGTTGAACGCACACATCACAAAGGAGTTTCTGAGAATCATTCTGTCTAGTTTTTATACGAAGATATTTCCTTTTCTACCATTGACCTCAAAGCGGCTGAAATCTCCACTTGCAAATTCCAGAAAAACAGTGTTTCAAATCTGCTCTGTGTAAAGGATCGTTTAACTCTGTGAGTTGAATACACACAACACAAGGAAAGTTACTGAGAATTCATCTGTCTAGCATAATATGAAGAAATCCCGTTTCCAACGAAGGCCTCAAAGAGGTCTGAATATCCACTTGCAGACTTTACAAACAGAGTGTTTCCTAACTGCTCTTTGAAAAGAAAGGTTAAACTCTGTGAGTTGAACGCACACATCACAAAACAGTTTCTGAGAATCATTCTGTCTAGTTTTTATACGAAGATATTTCCTTTTCTACCGTTGACCTCAAAGCGGCTGAATTCTCCACTAACAAATTCCACCAAAAGAGTGTCTCAAATCTGCTCTGTGTAAAGAATCATTCAACTCTGTGAGTTGAATGCACACAACACAAGGAAGTTACTGGGAATTCCTCTGTCTAACCTTACATGAAAAAACCCGTTTCCAACGAAGGCCTCTAAGAGGCCAAGATATCCACTTGCAGACTTTACAAACAGAGTGTTTCCAAACTGCTGAATGAAAAGAAAAGTTAAACTCTGTGAGTTGAACGCACACATCACAGAGCAGTTTCTGAGAATGATTCTGTCGGGTTTTTATACGAAGATATTTCCTTTTCTGTCTTTGGCCTCAAAGCGCTTGAAGTCTCCACTTGCAAATTGCAGAAAAAGAGTGTTTCGAATCTGCTCTGTCTAAAGGAAGGTTCAACTCTGTCAGTTGAATACACACAACACAAGGAAGTTACTGAGATTTCTTCTGTCTAGCCTTACATGAAAAAAACCCGTTTCCAACGAAGGCCTCAAAGAGGTCAAAATATCCACGTGCAGACTTTCCAAACAGAGTGTTTCCAAACTGCTGAATGAAAAGAAAAGTTAAACTCTGTGAGTTGAACGCACACATCCCAGAGCAGTTTCTGAGAAAGATTCTGTCGAGTTTTTATAGGAAAATATTTCCTTTTCTGCTTTTGGCCTCAAAGCGCTTGAAATCTCCACTTGCAAATTCCACAAAAAGAGACTTTCAAATCTGCTCTGTCTAAAGGAAGGTTCAACTCTGTCAGTTGAATACACACAACACAAAGAAGTTACTAAGAATTCTTCCCTCTAGCATTATATGAAGAAATCCCGTTTGCAACGAAGGCATCTAAGAGGTCCAAATATCCACTTGCAGACTTTACAAACAGAGGGTTTCCAGAATGCTGTATGAAAAGAAAGGTGAAACTCTGTGAGTTAAACACACACATCACTACGCAGTGTCTGGGAACGAGTTTGTCTTGTTTTTATACGAAGATATTTCCTTTTCTACCATTGGCATCGAAGCGCTTGAAATCTCCACTTGCAAATTCCACAAAAAGAGTGTTTCAAATCTGCTCTGTCTAAAGGAAGGTTGAACTCTGTGAGTTGCATACACACAACACAAAGAAGTTACTGAGAAATCTTCTGTCTAGCATAATATGAAGAAATCCCGTTTCCAAAGAAGGCCTCAAAGAGGTCCGAATATCCACTGGCAGGCTTCACAAACAGAGTGTTTCCTAACTGCTCTGTGAAAAGAAAGGTTAAACCCTGTGAGTTGAACGCACACATCACAAAGGAGTTTCTGAGAATCATTCTGTCTAGTTTTTATACGAAGATATTTCCTTTTCTACCATTGACCTCAAAGCGGCTGAAATCTCCACTTGCAAATTCCAGAAAAACAGTGTTTCAAATCTGCTCTGTGTAAAGGATCGTTCAACTCTGTGAGTTGAATACACACAACACAAGGAAGTTACTGAGAATTCATCTGTCTAGCATAATATGAAGAAATCCCGTTTCCAACGAAGGCCTCAAAGAGGTCTGAATATCCACTTGCAGACTTTACAAACAGAGTGTTTCCTAACTGCTCTTTGAAAAGAAAGGTTAAACTCTGTGAGTTGAACGCACACATCACAAAACAGTTTCTGAGAATCATTCTGTCTAGTTTTTATACGAAGATATTTCCTTTTCTACCGTTGACCTCAAAGCAGCTGAATTCTCCACTTACAAATTCCACCAAAAGAGTGTCTCAAATCTGCTCTGTGTAAAGAATCATTCAACTCTGTGAGTTGAATGCACACAACACAAGGAAGTTACTGGGAATTCCTCTGTCTAACCTTACATGAAAAAACCCGTTTCCAACGAAGGCCTCTAAGAGGCCAAGATATCCACTTGCAGACTTTACAAACAGAGTGTTTCCAAACTGCTGAATGAAAAGAAAAGTTAAATTCTGTGAGTTGAACGCACACATCACAGAGCAGTTTCTGAGAATGATTCTGTCGGGTTTTTATACGAAGATATTTCCTTTTCTGCCTTTGGCCTCAAAGCGCTTGAAGTCTCCACTTGCAAATTGCAGAAAAAGAGTGTTTCGAATCTGCTCTGTCTAAAAGAAGGTTCAACTCTGTCAGTTGAATACACACAACACAAGGAAGTTACTGAGATTTCTTCTGTCTAGCCTTACATGAAAAAAACCCGTTTCCAACGAAGGCCTCAAAGAGGTCAAAATATCCACGTGCAGACTTTCCAAACAGAGTGTTTCCAAACTGCTGAATGAAAAGAAAAGTTAAACTCTGTGAGTTGAACGCACACATCCCAGAGCAGTTTCTGAGAAAGATTCTGTCTAGTTTTTATAGGAAAATATTTCCTTTTCTGCTTTTGGCCTCAAAGCGCTTGAAATCTCCACTTGCAAATTCCACAAAAAGAGACTTTCAAATCTGCTCTGTCTAAAGGAAGGTTCAACTCTGTCAGTTGAATACACACAACACAAAGAAGTTACTAAGAATTCTTCCCTCTAGCATTATATGAAGAAATCCCGTTTCCAACGAAGGCATCTAAGAGGTCCAAATATCCACTTGCAGACTTTACAAACAGAGGGTTTCCAGAATGCTGTATGAAAAGAAAGGTGAAACTCTGTGAGTTAAACACACACATCACTACGCAGTGTCTGGGAACGAGTTTGTCTTGTTTTTATACGAAGATATTTCCTTTTCTACCATTGGCATCGAAGCGCTTGAAATCTCCACTTGCAAATTCCACAAAAAGAGTGTTTCAAATCTGCTCTGTCTAAAGGAAGGTTGAACTCTGTGAGTTGCATACACACAACACAAAGAAGTTACTGAGAAATCTTCTGTCTAGCATAATACGAAGAAATCCCGTTTCCAACGAAGGCCTCAAAGAGGTCCGAATATCCACTGGCAGGCTTCACAAACAGAGTGTTTCCTAACTGCTCTGTGAAAAGAAAGGTTAAACTCTGTGAGTTGAACGCACACATCACAAAGGAGTTTCTGAGAATCATTCTGTCTAGTTTTTATACGAAGATATTTCCTTTTCTACCATTGACCTCAAAGCGGCTGAAATCTCCACTTGCAAATTCCAGAAAAACAGTGTTTCAAATCTGCTCTGTGTAAAGGATCGTTCAACTCTGTGAGTTGAATACACACAACACAAGGAAGTTACTGAGAATTCATCTGTCTAGCATAATATGAAGAAATCCCGTTTCCAACGAAGGCCTCAAAGAGGTCTGAATATCCACTTGCAGACTTTACAAACAGAGTGTTTCCTAACTGCTCTTTGAAAAGAAAGGTTAAACTCTGTGAGTTGAACGCACACATCACAAAACAGTTTCTGAGAATCATTCTGTCTAGTTTTTATACGAAGATATTTCCTTTTCTACCGTTGACCTCAAAGCGGCTGAATTCTCCACTTACAAATTCCACCAAAAGAGTGTCTCAAATCTGCTCTGTGTAAAGAATCATTCAACTCTGTGAGTTGAATGCACACAACACAAGGAAGTTACTGGGAATTCCTCTGTCTATCCTTACATGAAAAAACCCGTTTCCAACGAAGGCCTCTAAGAGGCCAAGATATCCACTTGCAGACTTTACAAACAGAGTGTTTCCAAACTGCTGAATGAAAAGAAAAGTTAAACTCTGTGAGTTGAACGCACACATCACAGAGCAGTTTCTGAGAATGATTCTGTCGGGTTTTTATACGAAGATATTTCCTTTTCTGCCTTTGGCCTCAAAGCGCTTGAAGTCTCCACTTGCAAATTGCAGAAAAAGAGTGTTTCGAATCTGCTCTGTCTAAAGGAAGGTTCAACTCTGTCAGTTGAATACACACAACACAAGGAAGTTACTGAGATTTCTTCTGTCTAGCCTTACATGAAAAAAACCCGTTTCCAACGAAGGCCTCAAAGAGGTCAAAATATCCACGTGCAGACTTTCCAAACAGAGTGTTTCCAAACTGCTGAATGAAAAGAAAAGTTAAACTCTGTGAGTTGAACGCACACATCCCAGAGCAGTTTCTGAGAAAGATTCTGTCGAGTTTTTATAGGAAAATATTTCCTTTTCTGCTTTTGGCCTCAAAGCGCTTGAAATCTCCACTTGCAAATTCCACAAAAAGAGACTTTCAAATCTGCTCTGTCTAAAGGAAGGTTCAACTCTGTCAGTTGAATACACACAACACAAAGAAGTTACTAAGAATTCTTCCCTCTAGCATTATATGAAGAAATCCCGTTTGCAACGAAGGCATCTAAGAGGTCCAAATATCCACTTGCAGACTTTACAAACAGAGGGTTTCCAGAATGCTGTATGAAAAGAAAGGTTAAACTCTGTGAGTTAAACACACACATCACTACGCAGTGTCTGGGAACGAGTTTGTCTTGTTTTTATACGAAGATATTTCCTTTTCTACCATTGGCATCGAAGCGCTTGAAATCTCCACTTGCAAATTCCACAAAAAGAGTGTTTCAAATCTGCTCTGTCTAAAGGAAGGTTGAACTCTGTGAGTTGCATACACACAACACAAAGAAGTTACTGAGAAATCTTCTGTCTAGCATAATATGAAGAAATCCCGTTTCCAACGAAGGCCTCAAAGAGGTCCGAATATCCACTGGCAGGCTTCACAAACAGAGTGTTTCCTAACTGCTCTGTGAAAAGAAAGGTTAAACTCTGTGAGTTGAACGCACACATCACAAAGGAGTTTCTGAGAATCATTCTGTCTAGTTTTTATACGAAGATATTTCTTTTTCTACCATTGACCTCAAAGCGGCTGAAATCTCCACTTGCAAATTCCAGAAAAACAGTGTTTCAAATCTGCTCTGTGTAAAGGATCGTTCAACTCTGTGAGTTGAATACACACAACACAAGGAAGTTACTGAGAATTCATCTGTCTAGCATAATATGAAGAAATCCCGTTTCCAACGAAGGCCTCAAAGAGGTCTGAATATCCACTTGCAGACTTTACAAACAGAGTGTTTCCTAACTGCTCTTTGAAAAGAAAGGTTAAACTCTGTGAGTTGAACGCACACATCACAAAACAGTTTCTGAGAATCATTCTGTCTAGTTTTTATACGAAGATATTTCCTTTTCTACCGTTGACCTCAAAGCGGCTGAATTCTCCACTTACAAATTCCACCAAAAGAGTGTCTCAAATCTGCTCTGTGTAAAGAATCATTCAACTCTGTGAGTTGAATGCACACAACACAAGGAAGTTACTGGGAATTCCTCTGTCTAACCTTACATGAAAAAACCCGTTTCCAACGAAGGCCTCTAAGAGGCCAAGATATTCACTTGCAGACTTTACAAACAGAGTGTTTCCAAACTGCTGAATGAAAAGAAAAGTTAAACTCTGTGAGTTGAACGCACACATCACAGAGCAGTTTCTGAGAGTGATTCTGTCGGGTTTTTATACGAAGATATTTCCTTTTCTGCCTTTGGCCTCAAAGCGCTTGAAGTTTCCACTTGCAAATTGCAGAAAAAGAGTGTTTCGAATCTGCTCTGTCTAAAGGAAGGTTCAACTCTGTCAGTTGAATACACACAACACAAGGAAGTTACTGAGATTTCTTCTGTCTAGCCTTACATGAAAAAAACCCGTTTCCAACGAAGGCCTCAAAGAGGTCAAAATATCCACGTGCAGACTTTCCAAACAGAGTGTTTCCAAACTGCTGAATGAAAAGAAAAGTTAAACTCTGTGAGTTGAACGCACACATCCCAGAGCAGTTTCTGAGAAAGATTCTGTCGAGTTTTTATAGGAAAATATTTCCTTTTCTGCTTTTGGCCTCAAAGCGCTTGAAATCTCCACTTGCAAATTCCACAAAAAGAGACTTTCAAATCTGCTCTGTCTAAAGGAAGGTTCAACTCTGTCAGTTGAATACACACAACACAAAGAAGTTACTAAGAATTCTTCCCTCTAGCATTATATGAAGAAATCCCGTTTCCAACGAAGGCATCTAAGAGGTCCAAATATCCACTTGCAGACTTTACAAACACAGGGTTTCCAGAATGCTGTATGAAAAGAAAGGTTAAACTCTGTGAGTTAAACACACACATCACTACGCAGTGTCTGGGAACGAGTTTGTCTTGTTTTTATACGAAGATATTTCCTTTTCTACCATTGGCATCGATGCGCTTGAAATTTCCACTTGCAAATTCCACAAAAAGAGTGTTTCAAATCTGCTCTGTCTAAAGGAAGGTTGAACTCTGTGAGTTGCATACACACAACACAAAGAAGTTACTGAGAAATCTTCTGTCTAGCAAAATATGAAGAAATCCCGTTTCCAACGAAGGCCTCAAAGAGGTCCGAATATCCACTGGCAGGCTTCACAAACAGAGTGTTTCCTAACTGCTCTGTGAAAAGAAAGGTTAAACTCTGTGAGTTGAACGCACACATCACAAAGGAGTTTCTGAGAATCATTCTGTCTAGGTTTTATACGAAGATATTTCCTTTTCTACCATTGACCTCAAAGCGGCTGAAATCTCCACTTGCAAATTCCAGAAAAACAGTGTTTCAAATCTGCTCTGTGTAAAGGATCGTTCAACTCTGTGAGTTGAATACACACAACACAAGGAAGTTACTGAGAATTCATCTGTCTAGCATAATATGAAGAAATCCCGTTTCCAACGAAGGCCTCAAAGAGGTCTGAATATCCGCTTGCAGACTTTACAAACAGAGTGTTTCCTAACTGCTCTCTGAAAAGAAAGGTTAAACTCTGTGAGTTGAACGCACACATCACAAAACAGTTTCTGAGAATCATTCTGTCTAGTTTTTATACGAAGATATTTCCTTTTCTACCGTTGACCTCAAAGCGGCTGAATTCTCCACTAACAAATTCCACCAAAAGAGTGTCTCAAATCTGCTCTGTGTAAAGAATCATTCAACTCTGTGAGTTGAATGCACACAACACAAGGAAGTTACTGGGAATTCCTCTGTCTAACCTTACATGAAAAAACCCGTTTCCAACGAAGGCCTCTAAGAGGCCAAGATATCCACTTGCAGACTTTACAAACAGAGTGTTTCCAAACTGCTGAATGAAAAGAAAAGTTAAACTCTGTGAGTTGAACGCCCACATCACAGAGCAGTTTCTGAGAATGATTCTGTCGGGTTTTTATACGAAGATATTTCCTTTTCTGCCTTTGGCCTCAAAGCGCTTGAAGTCTCCACTTGCAAATTGCAGAAAAAGAGTGTTTCGAATCTGCTCTGTCTAAAAGAAGGTTCAACTCTGTCAGTTGAATACACACAACACAAGGAAGTTACTGAGATTTCTTCTGTCTAGCCTTACATGAAAAAAACCCGTTTCCAACGAAGGCCTCAAAGAGGTCAAAATATCCACGTGCAGACTTTCCAAACAGAGTGTTTCCAAACTGCTGAATGAAAAGTTAAACTCTGTGAGTTGAACGCACACATCCCAGAGCAGTTTCTGAGAAAGATTCTGTCTAGTTTTTATAGGAAAATATTTCCTTTTCTGCTTTTGGCCTCAAAGCGCTTGAAATCTCCACTTGCAAATTCCACAAAAAGAGACTTTCAAATCTGCTCTGTCTAAAGGAAGGTTCAACTCTGTCAGTTGAATACACACAACACAAAGAAGTTACTAAGAATTCTTCCCTCTAGCATTATATGAAGAAATCCCGTTTCCAACGAAGGCATCTAAGAGGTCCAAATATCCACTTGCAGACTTTACAAACACAGGGTTTCCAGAATGCTGTATGAAAAGAAAGGTGAAACTCTGTGAGTTAAACACACACATCACTACGCAGTGTCTGGGAACGAGTTTGTCTTGTTTTTATACGAAGATATTTCCTTTTCTACCATTGGCATCGAAGCGCTTGAAATCTCCACTTGCAAATTCCACAAAAAGAGTGTTTCAAATCTGCTCTGTCTAAAGGAAGGTTGAACTCTGTGAGTTGCATACACACAACACAAAGAAGTTACTGAGAAATCTTCTGTCTAGCATAATATGAAGAAATCCCGTTTCCAACGAAGGCCTCAAAGAGGTCCGAATATCCACTGGCAGGCTTCACAAACAGAGTGTTTCCTAACTGCTCTGTGAAAAGAAAGGTTAAACTCTGTGAGTTGAACGCACACATCACAAAGGAGTTTCTGAGAATCATTCTGTCTAGTTTTTATACGAAGATATTTCCTTTTCTACCATTGACCTCAAAGCGGCTGAAATCTCCACTTGCAAATTCCAGAAAAACAGTGTTTCAAATCTGCTCTGTGTAAAGGATCGTTCAACTCTGTGCGTTGAATACACACAACACAAGGAAGTTACTGAGAATTCATCTGTCTAGCATAATATGAAGAAATCCCGTTTCCAACGAAGGCCTCAAAGAGGTCTGAATATCCGCTTGCAGACTTTACAAACAGAGTGTTTCCTAACTGCTCTTTGAAAAGAAAGGTTAAACTCTGTGAGTTGAACGCACACATCACAAAACAGTTTCTGAGAATCATTCTGTCTAGTTTTTATACGAAGATATTTCCTTTTCTACCGTTGACCTCAAAGCGGCTGAATTCTCCACTTACAAATTCCACCAAAAGAGTGTCTCAAATCTGCTCTGTGTAAAGAATCATTCAACTCTGTGAGTTGAATGCACACAACACAAGGAAGTTACTGGGAATTCCTCTGTCTAACCTTACATGAAAAAAACCGTTTCCAACGAAGGCATCTAAGAGGCCAAGATATCCACTTGCAGACTTTACAAACAGAGTGTTTCCAAACTGCTGAATGAAAAGAAAAGTTAAACTCTGTGAGTTGAACGCACACATCACAGAGCAGTTTCTGAGAATGATTCTGTCGGGTTTTTATACGAAGATATTTCCTTTTCTGCCTTTGGCCTCAAAGCGCTTGAAGTCTCCACTTGCAAATTGCAGAAAAAGAGTGTTTCGAATCTGCTCTGTCTAAAGGAAGGTTCAACTCTGTCAGTTGAATACACACAACACAAGGAAGTTACTGAGATTTCTTCTGTCTAGCCTTACATAAAAATAACCCGTTTCCAACGAAGGCCTTAAAGAGGTCAAAATATCCACGTGCAGACTTTCCAAACAGTGTTTCCAAACTGCTGAATGAAAAGAAAAGTTAAACTCTGTGAGTTGAACGCACACATCACAGAGTAGTTTCTGAGAATGAGTCTGTCGAGTTTTTATAGGAAAATATTTCCTTTTCTGCTTTTGGCCTCAAAGCGCTTGAAATCTCCACTTGCAAATTCCACAAAAAGAGACTTTCAAATCTGCTCTGTCTAAAGGAAGGTTCAACTCTGTCAGTTGAATACACACAACACAAAGAAGTTACTAAGAATTCTTCCCTCTAGCATTATATGAAGAAATCCCGTTTCCAACGAAGGCATCTAAGAGGTCCAAATATCCACTTGCAGACTTTACAAACAGAGGGTTTCCAGAATGCTGTATGAAAAGAAAGGTGAAACTCTGTGAGTTAAACACACACATCACTACGCAGTGTCTGGGAACGAGTTTGTCTTGTTTTTAAACGAAGATATTTCCTTTTCTACCATTGGCATCGAAGCGCTTGAAGTCTCCACTTGCAAATTCCACAAAAAGAGTGTTTCAAATCTGCTCTGTCTAAAGGAAGGTTGAACTCTGTGAGTTGCATACACACAACACAAAGAAGTTACTGAGAAATCTTCTGTCTAGCATAATATGAAGAAATCCCGTTTCCAACGAAGGCCTCAAAGAGGTCCGAATATCCACTGGCAGGCTTCACAAACAGAGTGTTTCCTAACTGCTCTGTGAAAAGAAAGGTTAAACTCTGTGAGTTGAACGCACACATCACAAAGGAGTTTCTGAGAATCACTCTGTCTAGTTTTTATACGAAGATATTTCTTTTTCTACCATTGACCTCAAAGCGGCTGAAATCTCCACTTGCAAATTCCAGAAAAACAGTGTTTCAAATCTGCTCTGTGTAAAGGATCGTTCAACTCTGTGAGTTGAATACACACAACACAAGGAAGTTACTGAGAATTCATCTGTCTAGCATAATATGAAGAAATCCCGTTTCCAACGAAGGCCTCAAAGAGGTCTGAATATCCACTTGCAGACTTTACAAACAGAGTGTTTCCTAACTGCTCTTTGAAAAGAAAGGTTAAACTCTGTGAGTTGAACGCACACATCACAAAACAGTTTCTGAGAATCATTCTGTCTAGTTTTTATACGAAGATATTTCCTTTTCTACCATTGACCTCAAAGCGGCTGAATTCTCCACTTACAAATTCCACCAAAAGAGTGTCTCAAATCTGCTCTGTGTAAAGAATCATTCAACTCTGTGAGTTGAATGCACACAACACAAGGAAGTTACTGGGAATTCCTCTGTCTAACCTTACATGAAAAAAACCCGTTTCCAACGAAGGCCTCTAAGAGGCCAATATATCCACTTGCAGACTTTACAAACAGAGTGTTTCCAAACTGCTGAATGAAAAGAAATTTAAACTCTGTGAGTTGAACGCACACATCACAGAGCAGTTTCTGAGAATGATTCTGTCGGGTTTTTATACGAAGATATTTCCTTTTCTGCCTTTGGCCTCAATGCGCTAGAAGTCTCCACTTGCAAATTGCAGAAAAAGAGTGTTTCGAATCTGCTCTGTCTAAAGGAAGGTTCAACCCTGTCAACTGAATACACACAACACAAGGAAGTTACTGAGATTTTCTCTGTCTAGCCTTACATGAAAAAAACCCGTTTCCAACGAAGGCCTCGAAGAGGTCAAAATATCCACGTGCAGACTTTCCAAACAGAGTGTTTCCAAACTGCTGAATGAAAAGAAAAGTTAAGCTCTGTGAGTTGAACGCACACATCACAGAGCAGTTTCTGAGAATGATTCTGTCGAGTTTTTATAGGAAAATATTTCCTTTTCTGCTTTTGGCCTCAAAGCGCTTGAAATCTCCACTTGCAAATTCCACAAAAAGAGACTTTCAAATCTGCTCTGTCTAAAGGAAGGTTCAACTCTGTCAGTTGAATACACACAACACAAAGAAGTTACTAAGAATTCTTCCCTCTAGCATTATATGAAGAAATCCCGTTTCCAAAGAAGGCATCTAAGAGGTCCAAATATCCACTTGCAGACTTTACAAACAGAGGGTTTCCAGAATGCTGTATGAACAGAAAGGTTAAACTCTGTGAGTTAAACACACACATCAGTACGCAGTGTCTGGGAACGAGTTTGTCTTGTTTTTCTACGAAGATATTTCCTTTTCTACCATTGGCATCGAAGCGCTTGAAATCTCCACTTGCAAATTCCACAAAAAGAGTGTTTCAAATCTGCTCTGTCTAAAGGAAGGTTGAACTCTGTGAGTTGCATACACACAACACGAAGAAGTTACTGAGAAATCTTCTGTCTAGCATAATATGAAGAAATCCCGTTTCCAACGAAGGCCTCAAAGAGGTCCGAATATCCACTGGCAGGCTTCACAAACAGAGTGTTTCCTAACTGCTCTGTGAAAAGAAAGGTTAAACTCTGTGAGTTGAACGCACACATCACAAAGGAGTTTCTGAGAATCATTCTGTCCAGTTTTTATACGAAGATATTTCCTTTTCTACCATTGACCTCAAAGCGGCTGAAATCTCCACTTGCAAATTCCAGAAAAACAGTGTTTCAAATCTGCTCTGTGTAAAGGATCGTTCAACTCTGTGAGTTGAATACACACAACACAAGGAAGTTACTGAGAATTCATCTGTCTAGCATAATATGATGAAATCCCGTTTCCAACGAAGGCTTCAAAGAGGTCTGAATATCCACTTGCAGACTTTAGAAACAGAGTGTTTCCTAACTGCTCTTTGAAAAGAAAGGTTAAACTCTGTGAGTTGAACGCACACATCACAAAACAGTTTCTGAGAATCATTCTGTCTAGTTTTTATACAAAGATATTTCCTTTTCTACCGTTGACCTCAAAGCGGCTGAATTCTCCACTTACAAATTCCACCAAAAGAGTGTCTCAAATCTGCTCTGTTTAAAGAATCATTCAACTCTGTGAGTTGAATGCACACAACACAAGGAAGTTACTGGGAATTCCTCTGTCTAACCTTACATGAAAAAACCCGTTTCCAACGAAGGCCTCTAAGAGGCCAAGATATCCACTTGCAGACTTTACAAACAGAGTGTTTCCAAACTGCTGAATGAAAAGAAAAGTTAAACTCTGTGAGTTGAACGCACACATCACAGAGCAGTTTCTGAGAATGATTCTGTCGGGTTTTTATACGAAGATATTTCCTTTTCTGCCTTTGGCCTCAAAGCGCTTGAAGTCTCCACTTGCAAATTGCAGAAAAAGAGTGTTTCAAATCTGCTCTGTCTAAAGGAAGGTTCAACTCTGTCAGTTGAATACACACAACACAAGGAAGTTACTGAGATTTCTTCTGTCTAGCCTTACATGAAAAAAACCCGTTTCCAACGAAGGCCTCAAAGAGGTCAAAATATCCACGTGCAGACTTTCCAAACAGTGTTTCCAAACTGCTGAATGAAAAGAAAAGTTAAACTCTGTGAGTTGAACGCACACATCACAGAGCAGTTTCTGAGAATGATTCTGTCGAGTTTTTATAGGAAAATATTTCCTTTTCTGCTTTTGGCCTCAAAGCGCTTGAAATCTCCACTTGCAAATTCCACAAAAAGAGACTTTCAAATCTGCTCTGTCTAAAGGAAGGTTCAACTCTGTCAGTTGAATACACACCACACAAAGAAGTTATTAAGAATTCTTCCCTCTAGCA
Source organism: Homo sapiens (assembly GCF_000001405.40). NCBI lineage: Eukaryota > Metazoa > Chordata > Mammalia > Primates > Hominidae > Homo > Homo sapiens. Next base: position 37,333,539 of record NC_000016.10, on the reverse strand, counting down.
TTATATGAAGAAATCCCGTTTCCAACGAAGGCATCTAAGAGGTCCAAATATCCACTTGCAGACTTTACAAACACAGGGTTTCCAGAATGCTGTATGAAAAGAAAGGTGAAACTCTGTGAGTTAAACACACACATCACTACGCAGTGTCTGGGAACGAGTTTGTCTTGTTTTTATACGAAGATATTTCCTTTTCTACCAATGGCATCGAAGCGCTTGAAATCTCCACTTGCAAATTCCACAAAAAGAGTGTTTCAAATCTGCTCTGTCTAAAGGAAGGTTGAACTCTGTGAGTTGCATACACACAACACAAAGAAGTTACTGAGAAATCTTCTGTCTAGCATAATATGAAGAAATCCCGTTTCCAACGAAGGCCTCAAAGAGGTCCGAATATCCACTGGCAGGCTTCACAAACAGAGTGTTTCCTAACTGCTCTGTGAAAAGAAAGGTTAAACTCTGTGAGTTGAACGCACACATCACAAAGGAGTTTCTGAGAATCATTCTGTCTAGTTTTTATACGAAGATATTTCTTTTTCTACCATTGACCTCAAAGCGGCTGAAATCTCCACTTGCAAATTCCAGAAAAACAGTGTTTCAAATCTTCTCTGTGTAAAGGATCGTTCAACTCTGTGAGTTGAATACACACAACACAAGGAAGTTACTGAGAATTCATCTGTCTAGCATAATATGAAGAAATCCCGTTTCCAACGAAGGCCTCAAAGAGGTCTGAATATCCACTTGCAGACTTTACAAACAGAGTGTTTCCTAACTGCTCTTTGAAAAGAAAGGTTAAACTCTGTGAGTTGAACGCACACATCACAAAAAAGTTTCTGAGAATCATTCTGTCTAGTTTTTATACGAAGATATTTCCTTTTCTACCGTTGACCTCAAAGCGGCTGAATTCTCCACTAACAAATTCCACCAAAAGAGTGTCTCAAATCTGCTCTGTGTAAAGAATCATTCAACTCTGTGAGTTGAATGCACACAACACAAGGAAGTTACTGGGAATTCCTCTGTCTAACCTTACATGAAAAAACCCGTTTCCAACGAAGGCATCTAAGAGGCCAAGATATCCACTTGCAGACTTTACAAACAGAGTGTTTCCAAACTGCTGAATGAAAAGAAAAGTTAAACTCTGTGAGTTGAACGCACACATCACAGAGCAGTTTCTGAGAATGATTCTGTCGGGTTTTTATACGAAGATATTTCCTTTTCTGCCTTTGGCCTCAAAGCGCTTGAAGTCTCCACTTGGAAATTGCAGAAAAAGAGTGTTTCGAATCTGCTCTGTCTAAAGGAAGGTTCAACTCTGTCAGTTGAATACACACAACACAAGGAAGTTACTGAGATTTCTTCTGTCTAGCCTTACATGAAAAAAACCCGTTTCCAACGAAGGCCTCAAAGAGGTCAAAATATCCACGTGCAGACTTTCCAAACAGAGTGTTTCCAAACTGCTGAATGAAAAGAAAGTTAAACTCTGTGAGTTGAACACACACATCCCAGAGCAGTTTCTGAGAAAGATTCTGTCGAGTTTGTATAGGAAAATATTTCCTTTTCTGCTTTTGGCCTCAAAGCGCTTGAAATCTCCACTTGCAAATTCCACAAAAAGAGACTTTCAAATCTGCTCTGTCTAAAGGAAGGTTCAACTCTGTCAGTTGAATACACACAACACAAAGAAGTTACTAAGAATTCTTCCCTCTAGCATTATATGAAGAAATCCCGTTTCCAACGAAGGCATCTAAGAGGTCCAAATATCCACTTGCAGACTTTACAAACAGAGGGTTTCCAGAATGCTGTATGAAAAGAAAGGTGAAACTCTGTGAGTTAAACACACACATCACTACGCAGTGTCTGGGAACGAGTTTGTCTTGTTTTTATACGAAGATATTTCCTTTTCTACCATTGGCATCGAAGCGCTTGAAATCTCCACTTGCAAATTCCACAAAAAGAGTGTTTCAAATCTGCTCTGTCTAAAGGAAGGTTGAACTCTGTGAGTTGCATACACACAACACAAAGAAGTTACTGAGAAATCTTCTGTCTAGCATAATATGAAGAAATCCCGTTTCCAACGAAGGCCTCAAAGAGGTCCGATTATCCACTGGCAGGCTTCACAAACAGAGTGTTTCCTAACTGCTCTGTGAAAAGAAAGGTTAAACTCTGTGAGTTGAACGCACACATCACAAAGGAGTTTCTGAGAATCATTCTGTCTAGTTTTTATACGAAGATATTTCCTTTTCTACCATTGACCTCAAAGCAGCTGAAATCTCCACTTGCAAATTCCAGAAAAACAGTGTTTCAAATCTGCTCTGTGTAAAGGATCGTTCAACTCTGTGAGTTGAATACACACAACACAAGGAAGTTACTGAGAATTCATCTGTCTAGCATAATATGAAGAAATCCCGTTTCCAACGAAGGCCTCAAAGAGGTCTGAATATCCACTTGCAGACTTTACAAACAGAGTGTTTCCTAACTGCTCTCTGAAAAGAAAGGTTAAACTGTGTGAGTTGAACGCACACATCACAAAACAGTTTCTGAGAATCATTCTGTCTAGTTTTTATACGAAGATATTTCCTTTTCTACCGTTGACCTTAAAGCGGCTGAATTCTCCACTTACAAATTCCACCAAAAGAGTGTCTCAAATCTGCTCTGTGTAAAGAATCATTCAACTCTGTGAGTTGAATGCACACAACACAAGGAAGTTACTGGGAATTCCTCTGTCTATCCTTACATGAAAAAACCCGTTTCCAACGAAGGCCTCTAAGAGGCCAAGATATCCACTTGCAGACTTTACAAACAGAGTGTTTCCAAACTGCTGAATGAAAAGAAAAGTTAAACTCTGTGAGTTGAACGCACACATCACAGAGCAGTTTCTGAGAATGATTCTGTCGGGTTTTTATACGAAGATATTTCCTTTTCTGCCTTTGGCCTCAAAGCGCTTGAAGTCTCCACTTGCGAATTGCAGAAAAAGAGTGTTTCGAATCTGCTCTGTCTAAAGGAAGGTTCAACTCTGTCAGTTGAATACACACAACACAAGGAAGTTACTGAGATTTCTTCTGTCTAGCCTTACATAAAAAAAACCCGTTTCCAACGAAGGCCTCAAAGAGGTCAAAATATCCACGTGCAGACTTTCCAAACAGAGTGTTTCCAAACTGCTGAATGAAAAGAAAAGTTAAACTCTGTGAGTTGAACGCACACATCCCAGAGCAGTTTCTGAGAAAGATTCTGTCGAGTTTTTATAGGAAAATATTTCCTTTTCTGCTTTTGGCCTCAAAGCGCTTGAAATCTCCACTTGCAAATTCCACAAAAAGAGACTTTCAAATCTGCTCTGTCTAAAAGAAGGTTCAACTCTGTCAGTTGAATACACACAACACAAAGAAGTTACTAAGAATTCTTCCCTCTAGCATTATATGAAGAAATCCCGTTTCCAACGAAGGCATCTAAGAGGTCCAAATATCCACTTGCAGACTTTACAAACAGAGGGTTTCCAGAATGCTGTATGAAAAGAAAGGTTAAACTCTGTGAGTTAAACACACACATCACTACGCAGTGTCTGGGAACGAGTTTGTCTTGTTTTTATACGAAGATATTTCCTTTTCTACCATTGGCATCGAAGCGTTTGAAATCTCCACTTGCAAATTCCACAAAAAGAGTGTTTCAAATCTGCTCTGTCTAAAGGAAGGTTGAACTCTGTGAGTTGCATACACACAACCCAAAGAAGTTACTGAGAAATCTTCTGTCTAGCATAATATGAAGAAATCCCGTTTCCAACGAAGGCCTCAAAGAGGTCCGAATATCCACTGGCAGGCTTCACAAACAGAGTGTTTCCTAACTGCTCTGTGAAAAGAAAGGTTAAACTCTGTGAGTTGAACGCACACATCACAAAGGAGTTTCTGAGAATCATTCTGTCTAGTTTTTATACGAAGATATTTCCTTTTCTACCATTGACCTCAAAGCAGCTGAAATCTCCACTTCCAAATTCCAGAAAAACAGTGTTTCAAATCTGCTCTGTGTAAAGGATCGTTCAACTCTGTGAGTTGAATACACACAACACAAGGAAGTTACTGAGAATTCATCTGTCTAGCATAATATGAAGAAATCCCGTTTCCAACGAAGGCCTCAAAGAGGTCTGAATATCCACTTGCAGACTTTACAAACAGAGTGTTTCCTAACTGCTCTTTGAAAAGAAAGGTTAAACTCTGTGAGTTGAACGCACACATCACAAAACAGTTTCTGAGAATCATTCTGTCTAGTTTTTATACGAAGATATTTCCTTTTCTACCGTTGACCTCAAAGCGGCTGAATTCTCCACTTACAAATTCCACCAAAAGAGTGTCTCAAATCTGCTCTGTGTAAAGAATCATTCAACTCTGTGAGTTGAATGCACACAACACAAGGAAGTTACTGGGAATTCCTCTGTCTAACCTTACATGAAAAAACCCGTTTCCAACGAAGGCCTCTAAGAGGCCAAGATATCCACTTGCAGACTTTACAAACAGAGTGTTTCCAAACTGCTGAATGAAAAGAAAAGTTAAACTCTGTGAGTTGAACGGACACATCACAGAGCAGTTTCTGAGAATGATTCTGTCGGGTTTTTATACGAAGATATTTCCTTTTCTGCCTTTGGCCTCAAAGCGCTTGAAGTCTCCACTTGCAAATTGCAGAAAAAGAGTGTTTCGAATCTGCTCTGTCTAAAGGAAGGTTCAACTCTGTCAGTTGAATACACACAACACAAGGAAGTTACTGAGATTTCTTCTGTCTAGCCTTACATGAAAAAAACCCGTTTCCAACGAAGGCCTCAAAGAGGTCAAAATATCCACGTGCAGACTTTCCAAACAGAGTGTTTCCAAACTGCTGAATGAAAAGAAAAGTTAAACTCTGTGAGTTGAACGCACACATCCCAGAGCAGTTTCTGAGAAAGATTCTGTCTAGTTTTTATAGGAAAATATTTCCTTTTCTGCTTTTGGCCTCAAAGCGCTTGAAATCTCCACTTGCAAATTCCACAAAAAGAGACTTTCAAATCTGCTCTGTCTAAAGGAAGGTTCAACTCTGTCAGTTGAATACACACAACACAAAGAAGTTACTAAGAATTCTTCCCTCTAGCATTATATGAAGAAATCCCGTTTCCAACGAAGGCATCTAAGAGGTCCAAATATCCACTTGCAGACTTTACAAACACAGGGTTTCCAGAATGCTGTATGAAAAGAAAGGTTAAACTCTGTGAGTTAAACACACACATCACTACGCAGTGTCTGGGAACGAGTTTGTCTTGTTTTTATACGAAGATATTTCCTTTTCTACCATTGGCATCGAAGCGCTTGAAATCTCCACTTGCAAATTCCACAAAAAGAGTGTTTCAAATCTGCTCTGTCTAAAGGAAGGTTGAACTCTGTGAGTTGCATACACACAACACAAAGAAGTTACTGAGAAATCTTCTGTCTAGCATAATATGAAGAAATCCCGTTTCCAACGAAGGCCTCAAAGAGGTCCGAATATCCACTGGCAGGCTTCACAAACAGAGTGTTTCCTAACTGCTCTGTGAAAAGAAAGGTTAAACTCTGTGAGTTGAACGCACACATCACAAAGGAGTTTCTGAGAATCATTCTGTCTAGTTTTTATACGAAGATATTTCCTTTTCTACCATTGACCTCAAAGCGGCTGAAATCTCCACTTGCAAATTCCAGAAAAACAGTGTTTCAAATCTGCTCTGTGTAAAGGATCGTTCAACTCTGTGAGTTGAATACACACAACACAAGGAAGTTACTGAGAATTCATCTGTCTAGCATAATATGAAGAAATCCCGTTTCAAACGAAGGCCTCAAAGAGGTCTGAATATCCACTTGCAGACTTTACAAACAGAGTGTTTCCTAACTGCTCTTTGAAAAGAAAGGTTAAACTCTGTGAGTTGAACGCACACATCACAAAACAGTTTCTGAGAATCATTCTGTCTAGTTTTTATACGAAGATATTTCCTTTTCTACCGTTGACCTCAAAGCGGCTGAATTCTCCACTTACAAATTCCACCAAAAGAGTGTCTCAAATCTGCTCTGTGTAAAGAATCATTCAACTCTGTGAGTTGAATGCACACAACACAAGGAAGTTACTGGGAATTCCTCTGTCTAACCTTACATGAAAAAACGCGTTTCCAACGAAGGCCTCTAAGAGGCCAAGATATCCACTTGCAGACTTTACAAACAGAGTGTTTCCAAACTGCTGAATGAAAAGAAAAGTTAAACTCTGTGAGTTGAACGCACACATCACAGAGCAGTTTCTGAGAATGATTCTGTCGGGTTTTTATACGAAGATATTTCCTTTTCTGCCTTTGGCCGCAAAGCGCTTGAAGTCTCCACTTGCAAATTGCAGAAAAAGAGCGTTTCGAATCTGCTCTGTCTAAAGGAAGGTTCAACTCTGTCAGTTGAATACACACAACACAAGGAAGTTACTGAGATTTCTTCTGTCTAGCCTTACATGAAAAAAACCCGTTTCCAACGAAGGCCTCAAAGAGGTCAAAATATCCACGTGCAGACTTTCCAAACAGAGTGTTTCCAAACTGCTGAATGAAAAGAAAGTTAAACTCTGTGAGTTGAACACACACATCACAGAGCAGTTTCTGAGAATGATTCTGTCTAGTTTTTATAGGAAAATATTTCCTTTTCTGCTTTTGGCCTCAAAGCGCTTGAAATCTCCACTTGCAAATTCCACAAAAAGAGACTTTCAAATCTGCTCTGTCTAAAGGAAGGTTCAACTCTGTCAGTTGAATACACACAACACAAAGAAGTTACTAAGAATTCTTCCCTCTAGCATTATATGAAGAAATCCCGTTTCCAACGAAGGCATCTAAGAGGTCCAAATATCCACTTGCAGACTTTACAAACAGAGGGTTTCCAGAATGTTGTATGAAAAGAAAGGTTAAACTCTGTGAGTTAAACACACACATCACTACGCAGTGTCTGGGAACGAGTTTGTCTTGTTTTTATACGAAGATATTTCCTTTTCTACCATTGGCATCGAAGCGCTTGAAATCTCCACTTGCAAATTCCACAAAAAGAGTGTTTCAAATCTGCTCTGTCTAAAGGAAGGTTGAACTCTGTGAGTTGCATACACACAACACAAAGAAGTTACTGAGAAATCTTCTGTCTAGCATAATATGAAGAAATCCCGTTTCCAACGAAGGCCTCAAGGAGGTCCGAATATCCACTGGCAGGCTTCACAAACAGAGTGTTTCCTAACTGCTCTGTGAAAAGAAAGGTTAAACTCTGTGAGTTGAACGCACACATCACAAAGGAGTTTCTGAGAATCATTCTGTCTAGTTTTTATACGAAGATATTTCCTTTTCTACCATTGACCTCAAAGCGGCTGAAATCTCCACTTGCAAATTCCAGAAAAAGAGTGTTTCAAATCTGCTCTGTGTAAAGGATCGTTCAACTCTGTGAGTTGAATACACACAACACAAGGAAGTTACTGAGAATTCATCTGTCTAGCATAATATGAAGAAATCCCGTTTCCAACGAAGGCCTCAAAGAGGTCTGAATATCCGCTTGCAGACTTTACAAACAGAGTGTTTCCTAACTGCTCTTTGAAAAGAAAGGTTAAACTCTGTGAGTTGAACGCACACATCACAAAACAGTTTCTGAGAATCATTCTGTCTAGTTTTTATACGAAGATATTTCCTTTTCTACCGTTGACCTCAAAGCGGCTGAATTCTCCACTAACAAATTCCACCAAAAGAGTGTCTCAAATCTGCTCTGTGTAAAGAATCATTCAACTCTGTGAGTTGAATGCACACAACACAAGGAAGTTACTGGGAATTCCTCTGTCTAACCTTACATGAAAAAAACCCGTTTCCAACGAAGGCCTCTAAGAGGCCAAGATATCCACTTGCAGACTTTACAAACTGAGTGTTTCCAAACTGCTGAATGAAAAGAAAAGTTAAACTCTGTGTGTTGAACGCACACATCACAGAGCAGTTTCTGAGAATGATTCTGTCGGGTTTTTATACGAAGATATTTCCTTTTCTGCCTTTGGCCTCAAATCGCTTGAAGTCTCCACTTGCAAATTGCAGAAAAAGAGTGTTTCGAATCTGCTCTGTCTAAAGGAAGGTTCAACTCTGTCAGTTGAATACACACAACACAAGGGAAGTTACTGAGATTTCTTCTGTCTAGCCTTACATGAAAAAAACCCGTTTCCAACGAAGGCCTCAAAGAGGTCAAAATATCCACGTGCAGACTTTCCAAACAGAGTGTTTCCAAACTGCTGAATGAAAAGAAAGTTAAACTCTGTGAATTGAACACACACATCACAGAGCAGTTTCTGAGAATGATTCTGTCTAGTTTTTATAGGAAAATATTTCCTTTTCTGCTTTTGGCCTCAAAGCGCTTGAAATCTCCACTTGCAAATTCCACAAAAAGAGACTTTCAAATCTGCTCTGTCTAAAGGAAGGTTCAACTCTGTCAGTTGAATACACACAACACAAAGAAGTTACTAAGAATTCTTCCCTCTAGCATTATATGAAGAAATCCCGTTTCCAACGAAGGCATCTAAGAGGTCCAAATATCCACTTGCAGACTTTACAAACAGAGGGTTTCCAGAATGCTGTATGAAAAGAAAGGTGAAACTCTGTGAGTTAAACACACACATCACTACGCAGTGTCTGGGAACGAGTTTGTCTTGTTTTTATACGAAGATATTTCCTTTTCTACCATTGGCATCGAAGCGCTTGAAATCTCCACTTGCAAATTCCACAAAAAGAGTGTTTCAAATCTGCTCTGTCTAAAGGAAGGTTGAACTCTGTGAGTTGCATACACACAACACAAAGAAGTTACTGAGAAATCTTCTGTCTAGCATAATATGAAGAAATCCCGTTTCCAACGAAGGCCTCAAAGAGGTCCGAATATCCACTGGCAGGCTTCACAAACAGAGTGTTTCCTAACTGCTCTGTGAAAAGAAAGGTTAAACTCTGTGAGTTGAACGCACACATCACAAAGGAGTTTCTGAGAATCATTCTGTCTAGTTTTTATACGAAGATATTTCCTTTTCTACCATTGACCTCAAAGCGGCTGAAATCTCCACTTGCAAATTCCAGAAAAACAGTGTTTCAAATCTGCTCTGTGTAAAGGATCGTTAAACTCTGTGAGTTGAATACACACAACACAAGGAAGTTACTGAGAATTCATCTGTCTAGCATAATATGAAGAAATCCCGTTTCCAACGAAGGCCTCAAAGAGGTCTGAATATCCACTTGCAGACTTTACAAACAGAGTGTTTCCTAACTGCTCTTTGAAAAGAAAGGTTAAACTCTGTGAGTTGAACGCACACATCACAAAACAGTTTCTGAGAATCATTCTTTCTAGTTTTTATACGAAGATATTTCCTTTTCTACCGTTGACCTCAAAGCGGCTGAATTCTCCACTTACAAATTCCACCAAAAGTGTGTCTCAAATCTGCTCTGTGTAAAGAATCATTCAACTCTGTGAGTTGAATGCACACAACACAAGGAAGTTACTGGGAATTCCTCTGTCTAACCTTACATGAAAAAACCCGTTTCCAACGAAGGCCTCTAAGAGGCCAAGATATCCACTTGCAGACTTTACAAACAGAGTGTTTCCAAACTGCTGAATGAAAAGAAAAGTTAAACTCTGTGAGTTGAACGCACACATCACAGAGCAGTTTCTGAGAATGATTCTGTCGGGTTTTTATACGAAGATATTTCCTTTTCTGCCTTTGGCCTCAAAGCGCTTGAAGTCTCCACTTGCAAATTGCAGAAAAAGAGCGTTTCGAATCTGCTCTGTCTAAAGGAAGGTTCAACTCTGTCAGTTGAATACACACAACACAAGGAAGTTACTGAGATTTCTTCTGTCTAGCCTTACATGAAAAAAACCCGTTTCCAACGAAGGCCTCAAAGAGGTCAAAATATCCACGTGCAGACTTTCCAAACAGAGTGTTTCCAAACTGCTGAATGAAAAGAAAGTTAAACTCTGTGAGTTGAACACACACATCACAGAGCAGTTTCTGAGAATGATTCTCTCTAGTTTTTATAAGAAAATATTTCCTTTTCTGCTTTTGGCCTCAAAGCGCTTGAAATCTCCACTTGCAAATTCCACAAAAAGAGACTTTCAAATCTGCTCTGTCTAAAGGAAGGTTCAACTCTGTCAGTTCAATACACACAACACAAAGAAGTTACTAAGAATTCTTCCCTCTAGCATTATATGAAGAAATCCCGTTTCCAACGAAGGCCTCAAAGAGGTCTGCATATCCACTTGCAGATTTTACAGAGTGTTTCCTAACTGCTCTTTGAGAAGAAAGGTTAAACTCTGTGAGTTGAACGCACACATCACAAAACAGTTTCTGAGAATCATTCTGTCTAGTTTTTATACGAAGATATTTCCTTTTCTACCGTTGACCTCAAAGCGGCTGAATTCTCCACTTACAAATTCCACCCAAAGAGTGTCTCAAATCTGCTCTGTGTAAAGAATCATTCAACTCTGTGAGTTGAATGCACACAACACAAGGAAGTTACTGGGAATTCCTCTGTCTAACCTTATATGAAAAAACCCGTTTCCAACGAAGGCCTCTAAGAGGCCAAGATATCCACTTGCAGACTTTACAAACAGAGTGTTTCCAAACTGCTGAATGAAAAGAAAAGTTAAACTCTGTGAGTTGAACGCACACATCACAGAGCAGTTTCTGAGAATGATTCTGTCGGGTTTTTATACGAAGATATATCCTTTTCTGCCTTTGGCCTCAAAGCGCTTGAAGTCTCCACTTGCAAATTGCAGAAAAAGAGTGTTTCGAATCTGCTCTGTCTAAAGGAAGGTTCAACTCTGTCAGTTGAATACACACAACACAAGGAAGTTACTGAGATTTCTTCTGTCTAGCCTTACATGAAAAAAACCCGTTTCCAACGAAGGCCTCAAAGAGGTCAAAATATCCACTGTGCAGACTTTCCAAACAGAGTGTTTCCAAACTGCTGAATGAAAAGAAAAGTTAAACTCTGTGAGTTGAACGCACACATCCCAGAGCAGTTTCTGAGAAAGATTCTGTCTAGTTTTTATAGGAAAATATTTCCTTTTCTGCTTTTGGCCTCAAAGCGCTTGAAATCTCCACTTGCAAATTCCACAAAAAGAGACTTTCAAATCTGCTCTATCTAAAGGAAGGTTCAACTCTGTCAGTTGAATACACACAACACAAAGAAGTTACTAAGAATTCTTCCCTCTAGCATTATATGAAGAAATCCCGTTTCCAAAGAAGGCATCTAAGAGGTCCAAATATCCACTTGCAGACTTTACAAACACAGGGTTTCCAGAATGCTGTATGAAAAGAAAGGTTAAACTCTGTGAGTTAAACACACACATCACTACGCAGTGTCTGGGAACGAGTTTGTCTTGTTTTTATACGAAGATATTTCCTTTTCTACCATTGGCATCGAAGCGTTTGAAATCTCCACTTGCAAATTCCACAAAAAGAGTGTTTCAAATCTGCTCTGTCTAAAGGAAGGTTGAACTCTGTGAGTTGCATACACACAACACAAAGAAGTTACTGAGAAATCTTCTGTCTAGCATAATATGAAGAAATCCCGTTTCCAACGAAGGCCTCAAAGAGGTCCGAATATCCACTGGCAGGCTTCACAAACAGAGTGTTTCCTAACTGCTCTGTGAAAAGAAAGGTTAAACTCTGTGAGTTGAACGCACACATCACAAAGGAGTTTCTGAGAATCATTCTGTCTAGTTTTATACGAAGATATTTCCTTTTCTACCATTGACCTCAAAGCGGCTGAAATCTCCACTTGCAAATTCCAGAAAAACAGTGTTTCAAATCTGCTCTGTGTAAAGGATCGTTCAACTCTGTGAGTTGAATACACACAACACAAGGAAGTTACTGAGAATTCATCTGTCTAGCATAATATGAAGAAATCCCGTTTCCAACGAAGGCCTCAAAGAGGTCTGAATATCCTCTTGCAGACTTTACAAACAGAGTGTTTCCTAACTGCTCTTTGAAAAGAAAGGTTAAACTCTGTGAGTTGAACGCACACATCACAAAACAGTTTCTGAGAATCATTCTGTCTAGTTTTTATACGAAGATATTTCCTTTTCTACCGTTGACCTCAAAGCGGCTGAATTCTCCACTTACAAATTCCACCAAAAGAGTGTCTCAAAACTGCTCTGTGTAAAGAATCATTCAACTCTGTGAGTTGAATGCACACAACACAAGGAAGTTACTGGGAATTCCTCTGTCTAACCTTACATGAAAAAACCCGTTTCCAACGAAGGCCTCTAAGAGGCCAAGATATCCACTTGCAGACTTTACAAACAGAGTGTTTCCAAACTGCTGAATGAAAAGAAAAGTTAAACTCTGTGAGTTGAACGCACACATCACAGAGCAGTTTCTGAGAATGATTCTGTCGGGTTTTTATACGAAGATATTTCCTTTTCTGCCTTTGGCCTCAAAGCGCTTGAAGTCTCCACTTGCAAATTGCAGAAAAAGAGTGTTTCGAATCTGCTCTGTCTAAAGGAAGGTTCAACTCTGTCAGTTGAATACACACAACACAAGGAAGTTACTGAGATTTCTTCTGTCTAGCCTTACATGAAAAAAACCCGTTTCCAACGAAGGCCTCAAAGAGGTCAAAATATCCACGTGCAGACTTTCCAAACAGAGTGTTTCCAAACTGCTGAATGAAAAGAAAAGTTAAACTCTGTGAGTTGAACGCACACATCCCAGAGCAGTTTCTGAGAAAGATTCTGTCGAGTTTTTATAGGAAAATATTTCCTTTTCTGCTTTTGGCCTCAAAGCGCTTGAAATCTCCACTTGCAAATTCCACAGAAAGAGACTTTCAAATCTGCTCTGTCTAAAGGAAGGTTCAACTCTGTCAGTTCAATACACACAACACAAAGAAGTTACTAAGAATTCTTCCCTCTAGCATTATATGAAGAAATCCCGTTTCCAACGAAGGCATCTAAGAGGTCCAAATATCCACTTGCAGACTTTACAAACACAGGGTTTCCAGAATGCTGTATGAAAAGAAAGGTTAAACTCTGTGAGTTAAACACACACATCACTACGCAGTGTCTGGGAACGAGTTTGTCTTGTTTTTATACGAAGATATTTCCTTTTCTACCATTGGCATCGAAGCGCTTGAAATCTCCACTTGCAAATTCCACAAAAAGAGTGTTTCAAATATGCTCTCTCTAAAGGAAGGTTGAACTCTGTGAGTTGCATACACACAACACAAAGAAGTTACTGAGAAATCTTCTGTCTAGCAAAATATGAAGAAATCCCGTTTCCAACGAAGGCCTCAAAGAGGTCCGAATATCCACTGGCAGGCTTCACAAACAGAGTGTTTCCTAACTGCTCTGTGAAAAGAAAGGTTAAACTCTGTGAGTTGAACGCACACATCACAAAGGAGTTTCTGAGAATCATTCTGTCTAGTTTTTATACGAAGATATTTCCTTTTCTACCATTGACCTCAAAGCGGCTGACATCTCCACTTGCAAATTCCAGAAAAACAGTGTTTCAAATCTGCTCTGTGTAAAGGATCGTTCAACTCTGTGAGTTGAATACACACAACACAAGGAAGTTACTGAGAATTCATCTGTCTAGCATAATATGAAGAAATCCCGTTTCCAACGAAGGCCTCAAAGAGGTCTGAATATCCACTTGCAGACTTTACAAACAGAGTGTTTCCTAACTGCTCTTTGAAAAGAAAGGTTAAACTCTGTGAGTTGAACGCACACATCACAAAACAGTTTCTGAGAATCATTCTGTCTAGTTTTTATACGAAGATATTTCCTTTTCTACCGTTGACCTCAAAGCGGCTGAATTCTCCACTTACAAATTCCACCAAAAGAGTGTCTCAAATCTGCTCTGTGTAAAGAATCATTCAACTCTGTGAGTTGAATGCACACAACACAAGGAAGTTACTGGGAATTCCTCTGTCTATCCTTACATGAAAAAACCCGTTTCCAACGAAGGCCTCTAAGAGGCCAAGATATCCACTTGCAGACTTTACAAACAGAGTGTTTCCAAACTGCTGAATGAAAAGAAAAGTTAAACTCTGTGAGTTGAACGCACACATCACAGAGCAGTTTCTGAGAATGATTCTGTCGGGTTTTTATACGAAGATATTTCCTTTTCTGCCTTTGGCCTCAAAGCGCTTGAAGTCTCCACTTGCAAATTGCAGAAAAAGAGTGTTTCGAATCTGCTCTGTCTAAAGGAAGGTTCAACTCTGTCAGTTGAATACACACAACACAAGGAAGTTACTGAGATTTCTTCTGTCTAGCCTTACATGAAAAAAACCCGTTTCCAACGAAGGCCTCAAAGAGGTCAAAATATCCACGTGCAGACTTTCCAAACAGAGTGTTTCCAAACTGCTGAATGAAAAGAAAAGTTAAACTCTGTGAGTTGAACGCACACATCCCAGAGCAGTTTCTGAGAAAGATTCTGTCGAGTTTTTATAGGAAAATATTTCCTTTTCTGCTTTTGGCCTCAAAGCGCTTGAAATCTCCACTTGCAAATTCCACAAAAAGAGACTTTCAAATCTGCTCTGTCTAAAGGAAGGTTCAACTCTGTCAGTTGAATACACACAACACAAAGAAGTTACTAAGAATTCTTCCCTCTAGCATTATATGAAGAAATCCCGTTTGCAACGAAGGCATCTAAGAGGTCCAAATATCCACTTGCAGACTTTACAAACAGAGGGTTTCCAGAATGCTGTATGAAAAGAAAGGTGAAACTCTGTGAGTTAAACACACACATCACTACGCAGTGTCTGGGAACGAGTTTGTCTTGTTTTTATACGAAGATATTTCCTTTTCTACCATTGGCATCGAAGCGCTTGAAATCTCCACTTGCAAATTCCACAAAAAGAGTGTTTCAAATCTGCTCTGTCTAAAGGAAGGTTGAACTCTGTGAGTTGCATACACACAACACAAAGAAGTTACTGAGAAATCTTCTGTCTAGCATAATATGAAGAAATCCCGTTTCCAACGAAGGCCTCAAAGAGGTCCGAATATCCACTGGCAGGCTTCACAAACAGAGTGTTTCCTAACTGCTCTGTGAAAAGAAAGGTTAAACTCTGTGAGTTGAACGCACACATCACAAAGGAGTTTCTGAGAATCATTCTGTCTAGTTTTTATACGAAGATATTTCCTTTTCTACCATTGACCTCAAAGCGGCTGAAATCTCCACTTGCAAATTCCAGAAAAACAGTGTTTCAAATCTGCTCTGTGTAAAGGATCGTTCAACTCTGTGAGTTGAATACACACAACACAAGGAAGTTACTGAGAATTCATCTGTCTAGCATAATATGAAGAAATCCCGTTTCCAACGAAGGCCTCAAAGAGGTCTGAATATCCACTTGCAGACTTTACAAACAGAGTGTTTCCTAACTGCTCTTTGAAAAGAAAGGTTAAACTCTGTGAGTTGAACGCACACATCACAAAACAGTTTCTGAGAATCATTCTGTCTAGTTTTTATACGAAGATATTTCCTTTTCTACCGTTGACCTCAAAGCGGCTGAATTCTCCACTTACAAATTCCACCAAAAGAGTGTCTCAAATCTGCTCTGTGTAAAGAATCATTCAACTCTGTGAGTTGAATGCACACAACACAAGGAAGTTACTGGGAATTCCTCTGTCTATCCTTACATGAAAAAACCCGTTTCCAACGAAGGCCTCTAAGAGGCCAAGATATCCACTTGCAGACTTTACAAACAGAGTGTTTCCAAACTGCTGAATGAAAAGAAAAGTTAAACTCTGTGAGTTGAACGCACACATCACAGAGCAGTTTCTGAGAATGATTCTGTCGGGTTTTTATACGAAGATATTTCCTTTTCTGCCTTTGGCCTCAAAGCGCTTGAAGTCTCCACTTGCAAATTGCAGAAAAAGAGTGTTTCGAATCTGCTCTGTCTAAAGGAAGGTTCAACTCTGTCAGTTGAATACACACAACACAAGGAAGTTACTGAGATTTCTTCTGTCTAGCCTTACATGAAAAAAACCCGTTTCCAACGAAGGCCTCAAAGAGGTCAAAATATCCACGTGCAGACTTTCCAAACAGAGTGTTTCCAAACTGCTGAATGAAAAGAAAAGTTAAACTCTGTGAGTTGAACGCACACATCCCAGAGCAGTTTCTGAGAAAGATTCTGTCTAGTTTTTATAGGAAAATATTTCCTTTTCTGCTTTTGGCCTCAAAGCGCTTGAAATCTCCACTTGCAAATTCCACAAAAAGAGACTTTCAAATCTGCTCTGTCTAAAGGAAGGTTCAACTCTGTCAGTTGAATACACACAACACAAAGAAGTTACTAAGAATTCTTCCCTCTAGCATTATATGAAGAAATCCCGTTTCCAACGAAGGCATCTAAGAGGTCCAAATATCCACTTGCAGACTTTACAAACACAGGGTTTCCAGAATGCTGTATGAAAAGAAAGGTTAAACTCTGTGAGTTAAACACACACATCACTACGCAGTGTCTGGGAACGAGTTTGTCTTGTTTTTATACGAAGATATTTCCTTTTCTACCATTGGCATCGAAGCGCTTGAAATCTCCACTTGCAAATTCCACAAAAAGAGTGTTTCAAATCTGCTCTGTCTAAAGGAAGGTTGAACTCTGTGAGTTGCATACACACAACACAAAGAAGTTACTGAGAAATCTTCTGTCTAGCATAATATGAAGAAATCCCGTTTCCAACGAAGGCCTCAAAGAGGTCTGAATATCCACTGGCAGGCTTCACAAACAGAGTGTTTCCTAACTGCTCTGTGAAAAGAAAGGTTAAACTCTGTGAGTTGAACGCACACATCACAAAGGAGTTTCTGAGAATCATTATCTGTCTAGTTTTTATACGAAGATATTTCCTTTTCTACCATTGACCTCAAAGCGGCTGAAATCTCCACTTGCAAATTCCAGAAAAACAGTGTTTCAAATCTGCTCTGTGTAAAGGATCGTTCAACTCTGTGAGTTGAATACACACAACACAAGGAAGTTACTGAGAATTCATCTGTCTAGCATAATATGAAGAAATCCCGTTTCCAACGAAGGCCTCAAAGAGGTCTGAATATCCACTTGCAGACTTTACAAACAGAGTGTTTCCTAACTGCTCTTTGAAAAGAAAGGTTAAACTCTGTGAGTTGAACGCACACATCACCAAACAGTTTCTGAGAATCATTCTGTCTAGTTTTTATACGAAGATATTTCCTTTTCTACCGTTGACCTCAAAGCGGCTGAATTCTCCACTTACAAATTCCACCAAAAGAGTGTCTCAAATCTGCTCTGTGTAAAGAATCATTCAACTCTGTGAGTTGAATGCACACAACACAAGGAAGTTACTGGGAATTCCTCTGTCTATCCTTACATGAAAAAACCCGTTTCCAACAAAGGCCTCTAAGAGGCCAAGATATCCACTTGCAGACTTTACAAACAGAGTGTTTCCAAACTGCTGAATGAAAAGAAAAGTTAAACTCTGTGAGTTGAACGCACACATCACAGAGCAGTTTCTGAGAATGATTCTGTCGGGTTTTTATACGAAGATATTTCCTTTTCTGCCTTTGGCCTCAAAGCGCTTGAAGTCTCCACTTGCAAATTGCAGAAAAAGAGTGTTTCGAATCTGCTCTGTCTAAAGGAAGGTTCAACTCTGTCAGTTGAATACACACAACACAAGGAAGTTACTGAGATTTCTTCTGTCTAGCCTTACATGAAAAAAACCCGTTTCCAACGAAGGCCTCAAAGATGTCAAAATATCCACGTGCAGACTTTCCAAACAGAGTGTTTCCAAACTGCTGAATGAAAAGAAAAGTTAAACTCTGTGAGTTGAACGCACACATCCCAGAGCAGTTTCTGAGAAAGATTCTGTCTAGTTTTTATAGGAAAATATTTCCTTTTCTGCTTTTGGCCTCAAAGCGCTTGAAATCTCCACTTGCAAATTCCACAAAAAGAGACTTTCAAATCTGCTCTGTCTAAAGGAAGGTTCAACTCTGTCAGTTGAATACACACAACACAAAGAAGTTACTAAGAATTCTTCCCTCTAGCATTATATGAAGAAATCCCGTTTCCAACGAAGGCATCTAAGAGGTCCAAATATCCACTTGCAGACTTTACAAACACAGGGTTTCAAGAATGCTGTATGAAAAGAAAGGTTAAACTCTGTGAGTTAAACACACACATCACTACGCAGTGTCTGGGAACGAGTTTGTCTTGTTTTTATACGAAGATATTTCCTTTTCTACCATTGGCATCGAAGCGCTTGAAATCTCCACTTGCAAATTCCACAAAAAGAGTGTTTCAAATATGCTCTCTCTAAAGGAAGGTTGAACTCTGTGAGTTGCATACACACAACACAAAGAAGTTACTGAGAAATCTTCTGTCTAGCATAATATGAAGAAATCCCGTTTCCAACGAAGGCCTCAAAGAGGTCCGATTATCCACTGGCAGGCTTCACAAACAGAGTGTTTCCTAACTGCTCAGTGAAAAGAAAGGTTAAACTCTGTGAGTTGAATGCACACATCACAAAGGAGTTTCTGAGAATCATTCTGTCTAGTTTTTATACGAAGATATTTCCTTTTCTACCATTGACCTCAAAGCGGCTGAAATCTCCACTTGCAAATTCCAGAAAAACAGTGTTTCAAATCTGCTCTGTGTAAAGGATCGTTCAACTCTGTGAGTTGAATACACACAACACAAGGAAGTTACTGAGAATTCATCTGTCTAGCATAATATGATGAAATCCCGTTTCCAACGAAGGCCTCAAAGAGGTCTGAATATCCACTTGCAGAATTTACAAACAGAGTGTTTCCTAACTGCTCTCTGAAAATAAAGGTTAAACTCTGTGAGTTGAACGCACACATCACAAAACAGTTTCTGAGAATCATTCTGTCTAGTTTTTATACGAAGATATTTCCTTTTCTACCGTTGACCTCAAAGCGGCTGAATTCTCCACTTACAAATTCCACCAAAAGAGTGTCTCAAATCTGCTCTGTGTAAAGAATCATTCAACTCTGTGAGTTGAATGCACACAACACAAGGAAGTTACTGGGAATTCCTCTGTCTAACCTTACATGAAAAAACCCGTTTCCAACGAAGGCCTCTAAGAGGCCAAGATATCCACTTGCAGACTTTACAAACAGAGTGTTTCCAAACTGCTGAATGAAAAGAAAAGTTAAACTCTGTGAGTTGAACGCACACATCACAGAGCAGTTTCTGAGAATGATTCTGTCGGGTTTTTATACGAAGATATTTCCTTTTCTGCCTTTGGCCTCAAAGCGCTTGAAGTCTCCACTTGCAAATTGCAGAAAAAGAGTGTT
Organism: Homo sapiens; assembly: GCF_000001405.40. Classification (NCBI taxonomy): domain Eukaryota; kingdom Metazoa; phylum Chordata; class Mammalia; order Primates; family Hominidae; genus Homo; species Homo sapiens. Next base: position 37,314,264 of record NC_000016.10, on the reverse strand, counting down.
TCGAATCTGCTCTGTCTAAAGGAAGGTTCAACTCTGTCAGTTGAATACACACAACACAAGGAAGTTACTGAGATTTCTTCTGTCTAGCCTTACATGAAAAAAACCCGTTTCCAACGAAGGCCTCAAAGAGGTCAAAATATCCACGTGCAGACTTTCCAAACAGAGTGTTTCCAAACTGCTGAATGAAAAGAAAAGTTAAACTCTGTGAGTTGAACGCACACATCCCAGAGCAGTTTCTGAGAAAGATTCTGTCTAGTTTTTATAGGAAAATATTTCCTTTTCTGCTTTTGGCCTCAAAGCGCTTGAAATCTCCACTTGCAAATTCCACAAAAAGAGACTTTCAAATCTGCTCTGTCTAAAGGAAGGTTCAACTCTGTCAGTTGAATACACACAACACAAAGAAGTTACTAAGAATTCTTCCCTCTAGCATTATATGAGGAAATCCCGTTTCCAACGAAGGCATCTAAGAGGTCCAAATATCCACTTGCAGACTTTACAAACAGAGGGTTTCCAGAATGCTGTATGAAAAGAAAGGTTAAACTCTGTGAGTTAAACACACACATCACTACGCAGTGTCTGGGAACGAGTTTGTCTTGTTTTTATACGAAGATATTTCCTTTTCTACCATTGGCATCGATGCGCTTGAAATTTCCACTTGCAAATTCCACAAAAAGAGTGTTTCAAATCTGCTCTGTCTAAAGGAAGGTTGAACTCTGTGAGTTGCATACACACAACACAAAGAAGTTACTGAGAAATCTTCTGTCTTGCAAAATATGAAGAAATCCCGTTTCCAACGAAGGCCTCAAAGAGGTCCGAATATCCACTGGCAGGCTTCACAAACAGAGTGTTTCCTAACTGCTCTGTGAAAAGAAAGGTTAAACTCTGTGAGTTGAACGCACACATCACAAAGGAGTTTCTGAGAATCATTCTGTCTAGTTTTTATACGAAGATATTTCCTTTTCTACCATTGACCTCAAAGCGGCTGAAATCTCCACTTGCAAATTCCAGAAAAACAATGTTTCAAATCTGCTCTGTGTAAAGGATCGTTCAACTCTGTGAGTTGAATACACACAACACAAGGAAGTTACTGAGAATTCATCTGTCTAGCATAATATGAAGAAATCCCGTTTCCAACGAAGGCCTCAAAGAGGTCTGAATATCCACTTGCAGACTTTACAAACAGAGTGTTTCCTAACTGCTCTTTGAAAAGAAAGGTTAAACTCTGTGAGTTGAACGCACACATCACAAAACAGTTTCTGAGAATCATTCTGTCTAGTTTTTATACGAAGATATTTCCTTTTCTACCGTTGACATCAAAGCGGCTGAATTCTCCACTTACAAATTCCACCAAAAGAGTGTCTCAAAACTGCTCTGTGTAAAGAATCATTCAACTCTGTGAGTTGAATGCACACAACACAAGGAAGTTACTGGGAATTCCTCTGTCTAACCTTACATGAAAAAACCCGTTTCCAACGAAGGCCTCTAAGAGGCCAAGATATCCACTTGCAGACTTTACAAACAGAGTGTTTCCAAACTGCTGAATGAAAAGAAAAGTTAAACTCTGTGAGTTGAACGCACACATCACAGAGCAGTTTCTGAGAATGATTCTGTCGGGTTTTTATACGAAGATATTTCCTTTTCTGCCTTTGGCCTCAAAGCGCTTGAAGTCTCCACTTGCAAATTGCAGAAAAAGAGTGTTTCGAATCTGCTCTGTCTAAAGGAAGGTTCAACTCTGTCAGTTGAATACACACAACACAAGGAAGTTACTGAGATTTCTTCTGTCTAGCCTTACATGAAAAAAACCCGTTTCCAACGAAGGCCTCAAAGAGGTCAAAATATCCACGTGCAGACTTTCCAAACAGAGTGTTTCCAAACTGCTGAATGAAAAGAAAAGTTAAACTCTGTGAGTTGAACGCACACATCCCAGAGCAGTTTCTGAGAAAGATTCTGTCGAGTTTTTATAGGAAAATATTTCCTTTTCTGCTTTTGGCCTCAAAGCGCTTGAAATCTCCACTTGCAAATTCCACAAAAAGAGACTTTCAAATCTGCTCTGTCTAAAGGAAGGTTCAACTCTGTCAGTTGAATACACACAACACAAAGAAGTTACTAAGAATTCTTCCCTCTAGCATTATATGAAGAAATCCCGTTTCCAACGAAGGCATCTAAGAGGTCCAAATATCCACTTGCAGACTTTACAAACACAGGGTTTCCAAAATGCTGTATGAAAAGAAAGGTTAAACTCTGTGAGTTAAACACACACATCACTACGCAGTGTCTGGGAACGAGTTTGTCTTGTTTTTATACGAAGATATTTCCTTTTCTACCATTGGCATCGAAGCGCTTGAAATCTCCACTTGCAAATTCCACAAAAAGAGTGTTTCAAATCTGCTCTGTCTAAAGGAAGGTTGAACTCTGTGAGTTGCATACACACAACACAAAGAAGTTACTGAGAAATCTTCTGTCTAGCATAATATGAAGAAATCCCGTTTCCAACGAAGGCCTCAAAGAGGTCCGAATATCCACTGGCAGGCTTCACAAACAGAGTGTTTCCTAACTGCTCTGTGAAAAGAAAGGTTAAACTCTGTGAGTTGAACGCACACATCACAAAGGAGTTTCTGAGAATCATTCTGTCTAGTTTTTATACAGAAGATATTTCCTTTTCTACCATTGACCTCAAAGCGGCTGAAATCTCCACTTGCAAATTCCAGAAAAACAGTGTTTCAAATCTGCTCTGTGTAAAGGATCGTTCAACTCTGTGAGTTGAATACACACAACACAAGGAAGTTACTGAGAATTCATCTGTCTAGCATAATATGATGAAATCCCGTTTCCAACGAAGGCTTTAAAGTAGGTCTGAATATCCACTTGCAGACTTTACAAACAGAGTGTTTCCTAACTGCTCTTTGAAAAGAAAGGTTAAACTCTGTGAGTTGAACGCACACATCACAAAACAGTTTCTGAGAATCATTCTGTCTAGTTTTTATACGAAGATATTTCCTTTTCTACCGTTGACCTCAAAGCGGCTGAATTCTCCACTTACAAATTCCACCAAAAGAGTGTCTCAAATCTGCTCTGTGTAAAGAATCATTCAACTCTGTGAGTTGAATGCACACAACACAAGGGAAGTTACTGGGAATTCCTCTGTCTAACCTTACATGAAAAAACCCGTTTCCAACGAAGGCCTCTAAGAGGCCAAGATATCCACTTGCAGACTTTACAGACAGAGTGTTTCCAAACTGCTGAATGAAAAGAAAAGTTAAACTCTGTGAGTTGAACGCACACATCACAGAGCAGTTTCTGAGAATGATTCTGTTGGGTTTTTATACGAAGATATTTCCTTTTCTGCCTTTGGCCTCAAAGCGCTTGAAGTCTCCACTTGCAAATTGCAGAAAAAGAGTGTTTCGAATCTGCTCTGTCTAAAGGAAGGTTCAACTCTGTCAGTTGAATACACACAACACAAGGAAGTTACTGAGATTTCTTCTGTCTAGCCTTACATGAAAAAAACCCGTTTCCAACGAAGGCCTCAAAGAGGTCAAAATATCCACGTGCAGACTTTCCAAACAGAGTGTTTCCAAACTGCTGAATGAAAAGAAAAGTTAAACTCTGTGAGTTGAACGCACACATCCCAGAGCAGTTTCTGAGAAAGATTCTGTCGAGTTTTTATAGGAAAATATTTCCTTTTCTGCTTTTGGCCTCAAAGCGCTTGAAATCTCCACTTGCAAATTCCACAAAAAGAGACTTTCAAATCTGCTCTGTCTAAAGGAAGGTTCAACTCTGTCAGTTGAATACACACAACACAAAGAAGTTACTAAGAATTCTTCCCTCTAGCATTATATGAAGAAATCCCGTTTCCAACGAAGGCATCTAAGAGGTCCAAATATCCACTTGCAGACTTTACAAACACAGGGTTTCCAGAATGCTGTATGAAAAGAAAGGTTAAACTCTGTGAGTTAAACACACACATCACTACGCAGTGTCTGGGAACGAGTTTGTCTTGTTTTTATACGAAGATATTTCCTTTTCTACCATTGGCATCGAAGCGCTTGAAATCTCCACTTGCAAATTCCACAAAAAGAGTGTTTCAAATCTGCTCTGTCTAAAGGAAGGTTGAACTCTGTGAGTTGCATACACACAACCCAAAGAAGTTACTGAGAAATCTTCTGTCTAGCATAATATGAAGAAATCCCGTTTCCAACGAAGGCCTCAAAGAGGTCCGAATATCCACTGGCAGGCTTCACAAACAGAGTGTTTCCTAACTGCTCTGTGAAAAGAAAGGTTAAACTCTGTGAGTTGAACGCACACATCACAAAGGAGTTTCTGAGAATCATTCTGTCTAGTTTTTATACGAAGCATATTTCCTTTTCTACCATTGACCTCAAAGCGGCTGAAATCTCCACTTGCAAATTCCAGAAAAACAGTGTTTCAAATCTGCTCTGTGTAAAGGATCGTTCAACTCTGTGAGTTGAATACACACAACACAAGGAAAGTTACTGAGAATTCATCTGTCTAGCATAATATGAAGAAATCCCGTTTCCAACGAAGGCCTCAAAGAGGTCTGAATATCCACTTGCAGACTTTACAAACAGAGTGTTTCCTAACTGCTCTTTGAAAAGAAAGGTTAAACTCTGTGAGTTGAAAGCACACATCACAAAACAGTTTCTGAGAATCATTCTTTCTAGTTTTTATACGAAGATATTTCCTTTTCTACCGTTGACCTCAAAGCGGCTGAATTCTCCACTTTCAAATTCCACCAAAAGAGTGTCTCAAATCTGCTCTGTGTAAAGAATCATTCAACTCTGTGAGTTGAATGCATACAACACAAGGAAGTTACTGGGAATTCCTCTGTCTATCCTTACATGAAAAAACCCGCTTCCAACGAAGGCCTCTAAGAGGCCAAGATATCCACTTGCAGACTTTACAAACAGAGTGTTTCCAAACTGCTGAATGAAAAGAAAAGTTAAACTCTGTGAGTTGAACGCACACATCACAGAGCAGTTTCTGAGAATGATTCTGTCGGGTTCTTATACGAAGATATTTCCTTTTCTGCCTTTGGCCTCAAAGCGCTTGAAGTCTCCACTTGCAAATTACAGAAAAAGAGTGTTTCGAATCTGCTCTGTCTAAAGGAAGGTTCAACTCTGTCAGTTGAATACACACAACACAAGGAAGTTACTGAGATTTCTTCTGTCTAGCCTTACATGAAAAAAACCCGTTTCCAACGAAGGCCTCAAAGAGGTCAAAATATCCACGTGCAGACTTTCCAAACAGAGTGTTTCCAAACTGCTGAATGAAAAGAAAAGTTAAACTCTGTGAGTTGAACGCACACATCCCAGAGCAGTTTCTGAGAAAGATTCTGTCGAGTTTTTATAGGAAAATATTTCCTTTTCTGCTTTTGGCCTCAAAGCGCTTGAAATCTCCACTTGCAAATTCCACAAAAAGAGACTTTCAAATCTGCTCTGTCTAAAGGAAGGTTCAACTCTGTCAGTTGAATACACACAACACAAAGAAGTTACTAAGAATTCTTCCCTCTAGCATTATATGAAGAAATCCCGTTTCCAACGAAGGCATCTAAGAGGTCCAAATATCCACTTGCAGACTTTACAAACACAGGGTTTCCAGAATGCTGTATGAAAAGAAAGGTGAAACTCTGTGAGTTAAACACACACATCACTACGCAGTGTCTGGGAACGAGTTTGTCTTGTTTTTATACGAAGATATTTCCTTTTCTACCATTGGCATCGAAGCGCTTGAAATCTCCACTTGCAAATTCCACAAAAAGAGTGTTTCAAATCTGCTCTGTCTAAAGGAAGGTTGAACTCTGTGAGTTGCATACACACAACACAAAGAAGTTACTGAGAAATCTTCTGTCTAGCATAATATGAAGAAATCCCGTTTCCAACGAAGGCCTCAAAGAGGTCTGAATATCCACTGGCAGGCTTCACAAACAGAGTGTTTCCTAACTGCTCTGTGAAAAGAAAGGTTAAACTCTGTGAGTTGAACGCACACATCACAAAGGAGTTTCTGAGAATCATTCTGTCTAGTTTTTATACGAAGATATTTCCTTTTCTACCATTGACCTCAAAGCGGCTGAAATCTCCACTTGCAAATTCCAGAAAAACAGTGTTTCAAATCTGCTCTGTGTAAAGGATCGTTCAACTCTGTGAGTTGAATACACACAACACAAGGAAGTTACTGAGAATTCATCTGTCTAGCATAATATGAAGAAATCCCGTTTCCAACGAAGGCCTCAAAGAGGTCTGAATATCCACTTGCAGACTTTACAGAGTGTTTCCTAACTGCTCTTTGAAAAGAAAGGTTAAACTCTGTGAGTTGAACGCACACATCACAAAACAGTTTCTGAGAATCATTCTGTCTAGTTTTTATACGAAGGTATTTCCTTTTCTACCGTTGACCTCAAAGAGGCTGAATTCTCCACTTACAAATTCCACCCAAAGAGTGTCTCAAATCTGCTCTGTGTAAAGAATCATTCAACTCTGTGAGTTGAATGCACACAACACAAGGAAGTTACTGGGAATTCCTCTGTCTATCCTTACATGAAAAAACCCGTTTCCAACGAAGGCCTCTAAGAGGCCAAGATATCCACTTGCAGACTTTACAAACAGAGTGTTTCCAAACTGCTGAATGAAAAGAAAAGTTAAACTCTGTGAGTTGAACGCAGACATCACAGAGCAGTTTCTGAGAATGATTCTGTCGGGTTTTTATACGAAGATATTTCCTTTTCTGCCTTTGGCCTCAAAGCGCTTGAAGTCTCCACTTGCAAATTGCAGAAAAAGAGTGTTTCGAATCTGCTCTGTCTAAAGGAAGGTTCAACTCTGTCAGTTGAATACACACAACACAAGGAAGTTACTGAGATTTCTTCTGTCTAGCCTTACATGAAAAAAACCCGTTTCCAACGAAGGCCTCAAAGAGGTCAAAATATCCACGTGCAGACTTTCCAAACAGAGTGTTTCCAAACTGCTGAATGAAAAGAAAAGTTAAACTCTGTGAGTTGAACGCACACATCCCAGAGCAGTTTCTGAGAAAGATTCTGTCTAGTTTTTATAGGAAAATATTTCCTTTTCTGCTTTTGGCCTCAAAGCGCTTGAAATCTCCACTTGCAAATTCCACAAAAAGAGACTTTCAAATCTGCTCTGTCTAAAGGAAGGTTCAACTCTGTCAGTTGAATACACACAACACAAAGAAGTTACTAAGAATTCTTCCCTCTAGCATTATATGAAGAAATCCCGTTTCCAACGAAGGCATCTAAGAGGTCCAAATATCCACTTGCAGACTTTACAAACACAGGGTTTCCAGAATGCTGTATGAAAAGAAAGGTGAAACTCTGTGAGTTAAACACACACATCACTACGCAGTGTCTGGGAACGAGTTTGTCTTGTTTTTATACGAAGATATTTCCTTTTCTACCATTGGCATCGAAGCGCTTGAAATCTCCACTTGCAAATTCCACAAAAAGAGTGTTTCAAATCTGCTCTGTCTAAAGGAAGGTTGAACTCTGTGAGTTGCATACACACAACACAAAGAAGTTACTGAGAAATCTTCTGTCTAGCATAATATGAAGAAATCCCGTTTCCAACGAAGGCCTCAAAGAGGTCCGAATATCCACTGGCAGGCTTCACAAACAGAGTGTTTCCTAACTGCTCTGTGAAAAGAAAGGTTAAACTCTGTGAGTTGAACGCACACATCACAAAGGAGTTTCTGAGAATCATTCTGTCTAGTTTTTATACGAAGATATTTCCTTTTCTACCATTGACCTCAAAGCAGCTGAAATCTCCACTTGCAAATTCCAGAAAAACAGTGTTTCAAATCTGCTCTGTGTAAAGGATCGTTCAACTCTGTGAGTTGAATACACACAACACAAGGAAGTTACTGAGAATTCATCTGTCTAGCATAATATGAAGAAATCCCGTTTCCAACGAAGGCCTCAAAGAGGTCTGAATATCCACTTGCAGACTTTACAAACAGAGTGTTTCCTAACTGCTCTTTGAAAAGAAAGGTTAAACTCTGTGAGTTGAACGCACACATCACAAAACAGTTTCTGAGAATCATTCTGTCTAGTTTTTATATGAAGATATTTCCTTTTCTACCGTTGACCTCAAAGCAGCTGAATTCTCCACTTACAAATTCCACCAAAAGAGTGTCTCAAATCTGCTCTGTGTAAAGAATCATTCAACTCTGTGAGTTGAATGCACACAACACAAGGAAGTTACTGGGAATTCCTCTGTCTAACCTTACATGAAAAAACCCGTTTCCAACGAAGGCCTCTAAGAGGCCAAGATATCCACTTGCAGACTTTACAAACAGAGTGTTTCCAAACTGCTGAATGAAAAGAAAAGTTAAACTCTGTGAGTTGAACGCACACATCACAGAGCAGTTTCTGAGAATGATTCTGTCGGGTTTTTATACGAAGATATTTCCTTTTCTGCCTTTGGCCTCAAAGCGCTTGAAGTCTCCACTTGCAAATTGCAGAAAAAGAGTGTTTCGAATCTGCTCTGTCTAAAGGAAGGTTCAACTCTGTCAGTTGAATACACATAACACAAGGAAGTTACTGAGATTTCTTCTGTCTAGCGTTACATGAAAAAAACCCGTTTCCAACGAAGGCCTCAAAGAGGTCAAAATATCCACGTGCAGACTTTCCAAACAGAGTGTTTCCAAACTGCTGAATGAAAAGAAAAGTTAAACTCTGTGAGTTGAACGCACACATCCCAGAGCAGTTTCTGAGAAAGATTCTGTCTAGTTTTTATAGGAAAATATTTCCTTTTCTGCTTTTGGCCTCAAAGCGCTTGAAATCTCCACTTGCAAATTCCACAAAAAGAGACTTTCAAATCTGCTCTGTCTAAAGGAAGGTTCAACTCTGTCAGTTGAATACACACAACACAAAGAAGTTACTAAGAATTCTTCCCTCTAGCATTATATGAAGAAATCCCGTTTCCAACGAAGGCATCTAAGAGGTCCAAATATCCACTTGCAGACTTTACAAACAGAGGGTTTCCAGAATGCTGTATGAAAAGAAAGGTGAAACTCTGTGAGTTAAACACACACATCACTACGCAGTGTCTGGGAACGAGTTTGTCTTGTTTTTATACGAAGATATTTCCTTTTCTACCATTGGCATCGAAGCGCTTGAAATCTCCACTTGCAAATTCCACAAAAAGAGTGTTTCAAATCTGCTCTGTCTAAAGGAAGGTTGAACTCTGTGAGTTGCATACACACAACACAAAGAAGTTACTGAGAAATCTTCTGTCTAGCATAATATGAAGAAATCCCGTTTCCAACGAAGGCCTCAAAGAGGTCCGAATATCCACTGGCAGGCTTCACAAACAGAGTGTTTCCTAACTGCTCTGTGAAAAGAAAGGTTAAACTCTGTGAGTTGAACGCACACATCACAAAGGAGTTTCTGAGAATCATTCTGTCTAGTTTTTATACGAAGATATTTCCTTTTCTACCATTGACCTCAAAGCAGCTGAAATCTCCACTTGCAAATTCCAGAAAAACAGTGTTTCAAATCTGCTCTGTGTAAAGGATGGTTCAACTCTGTGAGTTGAATACACACAACACAAGGAAGTTACTGAGAATTCATCTGTCTAGCATAATATGAAGAAATCCCGTTTCCAACGAAGGCCTCAAAGAGGTCTGAATATCCACTTGCAGACTTTACAAACAGAGTGTTTCCTAACTGCTCTTTGAAAAGAAAGGTTAAACTCTGTGAGTTGAAAGCACACATCACAAAACAGTTTCTGAGAATCATTCTGTCTAGTTTTTATACGAAGATATTTCCTTTTCTACCGTTGACCTCAAAGCGGCTGAATTCTCCACTTACAAATTCCACCCAAAGAGTGTCTCAAATCTGCTCTGTGTAAAGAATCATTCAACTCTGTGAGTTGAATGCACACAACACAAGGAAGTTACTGGGAATTCCTCTGTCTAACCTTACATGAAAAAACCCGTTTCCAACGAAGGCCTCTAAGAGGCCAAGATATCCACTTGCAGACTTTACAAACAGAGTGTTTCCAAACTGCTGAATGAAAAGAAAAGTTAAACTCTGTGAGTTGAACGCACACATCACAGAGCAGTTTCTGAGAATGATTCTGTCGGGTTTTTATACGAAGATATTTCCTTTTCTGCCTTTGGCCTCAAAGCGCTTGAAGTCTCCACTTGCAAATTGCAGAAAAAGAGTGTTTCGAATCTGCTCTGTCTAAAGGAAGGTTCAACTCTGTCAGTTGAATACACACAACACAAGGAAGTTACTGAGATTTCTTCTGTCTAGCCTTACATGAAAAAAACCCGTTTCCAACGAAGGCCTCAAAGAGGTCAAAATATCCACGTGCAGACTTTCCAAACAGAGTGTTTCCAAACTGCTGAATGAAAAGAAAAGTTAAACTCTGTGAGTTGAACGCACACATCCCAGAGCAGTTTCTGAGAAAGATTCTGTCGAGTTTTTATAGGAAAATATTTCCTTTTCTGCTTTTGGCCTCAAAGCGCTTGAAATCTCCACTTGCAAATTCCACAAAAAGAGACTTTCAAATCTGATCTGTCTAAAGGAAGGTTCAACTCTGTCAGTTGAATACACACAACACAAAGAAGTTACTAAGAATTCTTCCCTCTAGCATTATATGAAGAAATCCCGTTTCCAACGAAGGCATCTAAGAGGTCCAAATATCCACTTGCAGACTTTACAAACACAGGGTTTCCAGAATGCTGTATGAAAAGAAAGGTTAAACTCTGTGAGTTAAACACACACATCACTACGCAGTGTCTGGGAACGAGTTTGTCTTGTTTTTATACGAAGATATTTCCTTTTCTACCATTGGCATCGAAGCGCTTGAAATCTCCACTTGCAAATTCCACAAAAAGAGTGTTTCAAATCTGCTCTGTCTAAAGGAAGGTTGAACTCTGTGAGTTGCATACACACAACACAAAGAAGTTACTGAGAAATCTTCTGAATAGCATAATATGAAGAAATCCCGTTTCCAACGAAGGCCTAAAAGAGGTCCGAATATCCACTGGCAGGCTTCACAAACAGAGTGTTTCCTAACTGCTCTGTGAAAAGAAAGGTTAAACTCTGTGAGTTGAACGCACACATCACAAAGGAGTTTCTGAGAATCATTCTGTCTAGTTTTTATACGAAGATATTTCCTTTTCTACCATTGACCTCAAAGCGGCTGAAATCTCCACTTGCAAATTCCAGAAAAACAGTGTTTCAAATCTGCTCTGTGTAAAGGATCGTTCAACTCTGTGAGTTGAATACACACAACACAAGGAAGTTACTGAGAATTCATCTGTCTAGCATAATATGAAGAAATCCCGTTTCCAACGAAGGCCTCAAAGAGGTCTGAATATCCTCTTGCAGACTTTACAAACAGAGTGTTTCCTAACTGCTCTTTGAAAAGAAAGGTTAAACTCTGTGAGTTGAACGCACACATCACAAAACAGTTTCTGAGAATCATTCTGTCTAGTTTTTATACGAAGATATTTCCTTTTCTACCGTTGACCTCAAAGCGGCTGAATTCTCCACTTACAAATTCCACCAAAAGAGTGTCTCAAAACTGCTCTGTGTAAAGAATCATTCAACTCTGTGAGTTGAATGCACACAACACAAGGAAGTTACTGGGAATTCCTGTGTGTATCCTTACATGAAAAAACCCGTTTCCAACGAAGGCCTCTAAGAGGCCAAGATATCCACTTGCAGACTTTACAAACAGAGTGTTTCCAAACTGCTGAATGAAAAGAAAAGTTAAACTCTGTGAGTTGAACGCACACATCACAGAGCAGTTTCTGAGAATGATTCTGTCGGGTTTTTATACGAAGATATTTCCTTTTCTGCCTTTGGCCTCAAAGCGCTTGAAGTCTCCACTTGCAAATTGCAGAAAAAGAGTGTTTCGAATCTGCTCTGTCTAAAGGAAGGTTCAACTCTGTCAGTTGAATACACACAACACAAGGAAGTTACTGAGATTTCTTCTGTCTAGCCTTACATGAAAAAAACCCGTTTCCAACGAAGGCCTCAAAGAGGTCAAAATATCCACGTGCAGACTTTCCAAACAGAGTGTTTGCAAACTGCTGAATGAAAAGAAAGTTAAACTCTGTGAGTTGAACACACACATCACAGAGCAGTTTCTGAGAATGATTCTGTCTAGTTTTTATAGGAAAATATTTCCTTTTCTGCTTTTGGCCTCAAAGCGCTTGAAATCTCCACTTGCAAATTCCACAAAAAGAGTGTTTCAAATCTGCTCTGTCTAAAGGAAGGTTGAACTCTGTGAGTTGTATACACACAACACAAAGAAGTTACTGAAAAATCTTCCCTCTAGCATTATATGAAGAAATCCCGTTTCTAACGAAGGCATCTAAGAGGTCCAAATATCCACTTGCAGACTTTACAAACAGAGGGTTTCCAGAATGCTGTATGAAAAGAAAGGTTAAACTCTGTGAGTTAAACACACACATCACTACGCAGTGTCTGGGAACGAGTTTGTCTTGTTTTTATACGAAGATATTTCCTTTTCTACCATTGGCATCGAAGCGCTTGAAATCTCCACTTGCAAATTCCACAAAAAGAGTGTTTCAAATCTGCTCTGTCTAAAGGAAGGTTGAACTCTGTGAGTTGCATACACACAACACAAAGAAGTTACTGAGAAATCTTCTGTCTAGCATAATATGAAGAAATCCCGTTTCCAACGAAGGCCTCAAAGAGGTCCGAATATCCACTGGCAGGCTTCACAAACAGAGTGTTTCCTAACTGCTCTGTGAAAAGAAAGGTTAAACTCTGTGAGTTGAACGCACACATCACAAAGGAGTTTCTGAGAATCATTCTGTCTAGTTTTTATACGAAGATATTTCCTTTTCTACCATTGACCTCAAAGCGGCTGAAATCTCCACTTGCAAATTCCAGAAAAACAGTGTTTCAAATCTGCTCTGTGTAAAGGATCGTTCAACTCTGTGAGTTGAATACACACAACACAAGGAAGTTACTGAGAATTCATCTGTCTAGCATAATATGAAGAAATCCCGTTTCCAACGAAGGCCTCAAAGAGGTCTGAATATCCGCTTGCAGACTTTACAAACAGAGTGTTTCCTAACTGCTCTTTGAAAAGAAAGGTTAAACTCTGTGAGTTGAACGCACACATCACAAAACAGTTTCTGAGAATCATTCTGTCTAGTTTTTATACGAAGATATTTCCTTTTCTACCATTGACCTCAAAGCGGCTGAATTCTCCACTTACAAATTCCACCAACAGTGTCTCAAATCTGCTCTGTGTAAAGAATCATTCAACTCTGTTAGTTGAATGCACACAACACAAGGAAGTTACTGGGAATTCCTCTGTCTAACCTTAAATGAAAAAACCCGTTTCCAACGAAGGCCTCTAAGAGGCCAAGATATCCACTTGCAGACTTTACAAACAGAGTGTTTCCAAACTGCTGAATGAAAAGAAAAGTTAAACTCTGTGAGTTGAACGCACACATCACAGAGCAGTTTCTGAGAATGATTCTGTCGGGTTTTTATACGAAGATATTTCCTTTTCTGCCTTTGGCCTCAAAGCGCTTGAAGTCTCCACTTGCAAATTGCAGAAAAAGAGTGTTTCGAATCTGCTCTGTCTAAAGGAAGGTTCAACTCTGTCAGTTGAATACACACAACACAAGGAAGTTACTGAGATTTCTTCTGTCTAGCCTTACATGAAAAAAACCCGTTTCCAACGAAGGCCTCAAAGAGGTCAAAATATCCATGTGCAGACTTTCCAAACAGAGTGTTTCCAAACTGCTGAATGAAAAGAAAAGTATAAACTCTGTGAGTTGAACGCACACATCCCAGAGCAGTTTCTGAGAAAGATTCTGTCTAGTTTTTATAGGAAAATATTTCCTTTTCTGCTTTTGGCCTCAAAGCGCTTGAAATCTCCACTTGCAAATTCCACAAAAAGAGACTTTCAAATCTGCTCTGTCTAAAGGAAGGTTCAACTCTGTCAGTTGAATACACACAACACAAAGAAGTTACTAAGAATTCTTCCCTCTAGCATTATATGAAGAAATCCCGTTTCCAACGAAGGCATCTAAGAGGTCCAAATATCCACTTGCAGACTTTACAAACAGAGGGTTTCCAGAATGCTGTATGAAAAGAAAGGTTAAACTCTGTGAGTTAAACACACACATCACTACGCAGTGTCTGGGAACGAGTTTGTCTTGTTTTTATACGAAGATATTTCCTTTTCTACCATTGGCATCGAAGCGCTTGAAATCTCCACTTGCAAATTCCACAAAAAGAGTGTTTCAAATCTGCTCTGTCTAAAGGAAGGTTGAACTCTGTGAGTTGCATACACACAACACAAAGAAGTTACTGAGAAATCTTCTGTCTAGCATAATATGAAGAAATCCCGTTTCCAACGAAGGCCTCAAAGAGGTCCGAATATCCACTGGCAGGCTTCACAAACAGAGTGTTTCCTAACTGCTCTGTGAAAAGAAAGGTTAAACCCTGTGAGTTGAACGCACACATCACAAAGGAGTTTCTGAGAATCATTCTGTCTAGTTTTTATACGAAGATATTTCCTTTTCTACCATTGACCTCAAAGCGGCTGAAATCTCCACTTGCAAATTCCAGAAAAACAGTGTTTCAAATCTGCTCTGTGTAAAGGATCGTTCAACTCTGTGAGTTGAATACACACAACACAAGGAAGTTACTGAGAATTCATCTGTCTAGCATAATATGAAGAAATCCCGTTTCCAACGAAGGCCTCAAAGAGGTCTGAATATCCACTTGCAGACTTTACAAACAGAGTGTTTCCTAACTGCTCTTTGAAAAGAAAGGTTAAACTCTGTGAGTTGAACGCACACATCACAAAACAGTTTCTGAGAATCATTCTGTCTAGTTTTTATACGAAGATATTTCCTTTTCTACCGTTGACCTCAAAGCGGCTGAATTCTCCACTTACAAATTCCACCAAAAGAGTGTCTCAAATCTGCTCTGTGTAAAGAATCATTCAACTCTGTGAGTTGAATGCACACAACACAAGGAAGTTACTGGGAATTCCTCTGTCTATCCTTACATGAAAAAACCCGTTTCCAACGAAGGCCTCTAAGAGGCCAAGATATCCACTTGCAGACTTTACAAACAGAGTGTTTCCAAACTGCTGAATGAAAAGAAAAGTTAAACTCTGTGAGTTGAACGCACACATCACAGAGCAGTTTCTGAGAATGATTCTGTCGGGTTTTTATACGAAGATATTTCCTTTTCTGCCTTTGGCCTCAAAGCGCTTGAAGTCTCCACTTGCAAATTGCAGAAAAAGAGTGTTTCGAATCTGCTCTGTCTAAAGGAAGGTTCAACTCTGTCAGTTGAATACACACAACACAAGGAAGTTACTGAGATTTCTTCTGTCTAGCCTTACATGAAAAACACCCGTTTCCAACGAAGGCCTCAAAGAGGTCAAAATATCCACGTGCAGACTTTCCAAACAGAGTGTTTCCAAACTGCTGAATGAAAAGAAAAGTTAAACTCTGTGAGTTGAACGCACACATCCCAGAGCAGTTTCTGAGAAAGATTCTGTCTAGTTTTTATAGGAAAATATTTCCTTTTCTGCTTTTGGCCTCAAAGCGCTTGAAATCTCCACTTGCAAATTCCACAAAAAGAGACTTTCAAATCTGCTCTGTCTAAAGGAAGGTTCAACTCTGTCAGTTGAATACACACAACACAAAGAAGTTACTAAGAATTCTTCCCTCTAGCATTATATGAAGAAATCCCGTTTCCAACGAAGGCATCTAAGAGGTCCAAATATCCACTTGCAGACTTTACAAACAGAGGGTTTCCAGAATGCTGTATGAAAAGAAAGGTGAAACTCTGTGAGTTAAACACACACATCACTACGCAGTGTCTGGGAACGAGTTTTGTCTTGTTTTATACGAAGATATTTCCTTTTCTACCATTGGCATCGAAGCGCTTGAAATCTCCACTTGCAAATTCCACAAAAAGAGTGTTTCAAATCTGCTCTGTCTAAAGGAAGGTTGAACTCTGTGAGTTGCATACACACAACACAAAGAAGTTACTGAGAAATCTTCTGTCTTGCATAATATGAAGAAATCCCGTTTCTAACGAAGGCCTCAAAGAGGTCCGAATATCCACTGGCAGACTTCACAAACAGAGTGTTTCCTAACTGCTCTGTGAAAAGAAAGGTTAAACTCTGTGAGTTGAACGCACACATCACAAAGGAGTTTCTGAGAATCATTCTGTCTAGTTTTTATACGAAGATATTTCCTTTTCTACCATTGACCTCAAAGCGGCTGAAATCTCCACTTGCAAATTCCAGAAAAACAGTGTTTCAAATCTGCTCTGTGTAAAGGATCGTTCAACTCTGTGAGTTGAATACACACAACACAAGGAAGTTACTGAGAATTCATCTGTCTAGCATAATATGAAGAAATCCCGTTTCCAACGAAGGCCTCAAAGAGGTCTGAATATCCACTTGCAGACTTTACAAACAGAGTGTTTCCTAACTGCTCTTTGAAAAGAAAGGTTAAACTCTGTGAGTTGAACGCACACATCACAAAACAGTTTCTGAGAATCATTCTGTCTAGTTTTTATACGAAGATATTTCCTTTTCTACCGTTGACCTCAAAGCGGCTGAATTCTCCACTTACAAATTCCACCAAAAGAGTGTCTCAAATCTGCTCTGTGTAAAGAATCATTCAACTCTGTGAGTTGAATGCACACAACACAAGGAAGTTACTGGGAATTCCTCTGTCTAACCTTACATGAAAAAACCCGTTTCCAACGAAGGCCTCTAAGAGGCCAAGATATCCACTTGCAGACTTTACAAACAGAGTGTTTCCAAACTGCTGAATGAAAAGAAAAGTTAAACTCTGTGAGTTGAACGCACACATCACAGAGCAGTTTCTGAGAATGATTCTGTCGGGTTTTTATACGAAGATATTTCCTTTTCTGCCTTTGGCCTCAAAGCGCTTGAAGTCTCCACTTGCAAATTGCAGAAAAAGAGTGTTTCGAATCTGCTCTGTCTAAAGGAAGGTTCAACTCTGTCAGTTGAATACACACAACACAAGGAAGTTACTGAGATTTCTTCTGTCTAGCCTTACATGAAAAAAACCCGTTTCCAACGAAGGCCTCAAAGAGGTCAAAATATCCACGTGCAGACTTTCCAAACAGAGTGTTTCCAAACTGCTGAATGAAAAGAAAAGTTAAACTCTGTGAGTTGAACGCACACATCCCAGAGCAGTTTCTGAGAAAGATTCTGTCTAGTTTTTATAGGAAAATATTTCCTTTTCTGCTTTTGGCCTCAAAGCGCTTGAAATCTCCACTTGCAAATTCCACAAAAAGAGACTTTCAAATCTGCTCTGTCTAAAGGAAGGTTCAACTCTGTCAGTTGAATACACACAACACAAAGAAGTTACTAAGAATTCTTCCCTCTAGCATTATATGAAGAAATCCCGTTTCCAACGAAGGCATCTAAGAGGTCCAAATATCCACTTGCAGACTTTACAAACACAGGGTTTCCAGAATGCTGTATGAAAAGAAAGGTTAAACTCTGTGAGTTAAACACACACATCACTACGCAGTGTCTGGGAACGAGTTTGTCTTGTTTTTATACGAAGATATTTCCTTTTCTACCATTGGCATCGAAACGCTTGAAATCTCCACTTGCAAATTCCACAAAAAGAGTGTTTCAAATATGCTCTCTCTAAAGGAAGGTTGAACTCTGTGAGTTGCATACACACAACACAAAGAAGTTACTGAGAAATCTTCTGTCTAGCATAATATGAAGAAATCCCGTTTCCAACGAAGGCCTCAAAGAGGTCCGAATATCCACTGGCAGGCTTCACAAACAGAGTGTTTCCTAACTGCTCTGTGAAAAGAAAGGTTAAACTCTGTGAGTTGAACGCACACATCACAAAGGAGTTTCTGAGAATCATTCTGTCTAGTTTTTATACAAAGATATTTCCTTTTCTACCGTTGACCTCAAAGCGGCTGAATTCTCCACTTACAAATTCCACCAAAAGAGTGTCTCAAATCTGCTCTGTGTAAAGAATCATTCAACTCTGTGAGTTGAATGCATACAACACAAGGAAGTTACTGGGAATTCCTCTGTCTATCCTTACATGAAAAAACCCGTTTCCAACGAAGGCCTCTAAGAGGCCAAGATATCCACTTGCAGACTTTACAAACAGAGTGTTTCCAAACTGCTGAATGAAAAGAAAAGTTAAACTCTGTGAGTTGAACGCACACATCACAGAGCAGTTTCTGAGAAGGATTCTGTCTAGTTTTTATAGGAAAATATTTCCTTTTCTGCTTTTGGCCTCAAAGCGCTTGAAATCTCCACTTGCAAATTCCACAAAAAGAGTGTTTCAAATCTGCTCTGTCTAAAGGAAGGTTGAACTCTGTCAGTTGCATACACACAACACAAAGAAGTTACTGAGAAATCTTCTGTCTAGCATAATATGAAGAAATCCCGTTTCCAACGAAGGCCTCAAAGAGGTCCGAATATCCACTGGCAGGCTTCACAAACAGAGTGTTTCCTAACTGCTCTGTGAAAAGAAAGGTTAAACTCTGTGAGTTGAACGCCCACATCACAAAGGAGTTTCTGAGAATCATTCTGTCTAGTTTTTATACGAAGATATTTCTTTTTCTACCATTGACCTCAAAGCGGCTGAAATCTCCACTTGCAAATTCCAGAAAAACAGTGTTTCAAATCTGCTCTGTGTAAAGGATCGTTCAACTCTGTGAGTTGAATACACACAACACAAGGAAGTTACTGAGAATTCATCTGTCTAGCATAATATGAAGAAATCCCGTTTCCAACGAAGGCCTCAAAGAGGTCTGAATATCCACTTGCAGACTTTACAAACAGAGTGTTTCCTAACTGCTCTTTGAAAAGAAAGGTTAAACTCTGTGAGTTGAACGCACACATCACAAAACAGTTTCTGAGAATCATTCTGTCTAGTTTTTATACGAAGATATTTCCTTTTCTACCGTTGACCTCAAAGCGGCTGAATTCTCCACTATCAAATTCCACCAAAAGAGTGTCTCAAATCTGCTCTGTGTAAAGAATCATTCAACTCTGTGAGTTGAATGCACACAACACAAGGAAGTTACTGGGAATTCCTCTGTCTAACCTTACATGAAAAAACCCGTTTCCAACGAAGGCCTCTAAGAGGCCAAGATATCCACTTGCAGACTTTACAAACAGAGTGTTTCCAAACTGCTGAATGAAAAGAAAAGTTAAACTCTGTGAGTTGAACGCACACATCACAGAGCAGTTTCTGAGAGTGATTCTGTCGGGTTTTTATACGAAGATATTTCCTTTTCTGCCTTTGGCCTCAATGCGCTTGAAGTTTCCACTTGCAAATTGCAGAAAAAGAGTGTTTCGAATCTGCTCTGTCTAAAGGAAGGTTCAACTCTGTCAGTTGAATACACACAACACAAGGAAGTTACTGAGATTTCTTCTGTCTAGCCTTACATGAAAAAAACCCGTTTCCAACGAAGGCCTCAAAGAGGTCAAAATATCCACGTGCAGACTTTCCAAACAGGGTGTTTCCAAACTGCTGAATGAAAAGAAAAGTTAAACTCTGTGAGTTGAACGCACACATCCCAGAGCAGTTTCTGAGAAAGATTCTGTCGAGTTTTTATAGGAAAATATTTCCTTTTCTGCTTTTGGCCTCAAAGCGCTTGAAATCTCCACTTGCAAATTCCACAAAAAGAGACTTTCAAATCTGCTCTGTCTAAAGGAAGGTTCAACTCTGTCAGTTGAATACACACAACACAAAGAAGTTACTAAGAATTCTTCCCTCTAGCATTATATGAAGAAATCCCGTTTCCAACGAAGGCATCTAAGAGGTCCAAATATCCACTTGCAGACTTTACAAACACAGGGTTTCCAGAATGCTGTATGAAAAGAAAGGTTAAACTCTGTGAGTTAAACACACACATCACTACGCAGTGTCTGGGAACGAGTTTGTCTTGTTTTTATACGAAGATATTTCCTTTTCTACCATTGGCATCGAAGCGCTTGAAATCTCCACTTGCAAATTCCACAAAAAGAGTGTTTCAAATCTGCTCTGTCTAAAGGAAGGTTGAACTCTGTGAGTTGCATACACACAACACAAAGAAGTTACTGAGAAATCTTCTGTCTAGCATAATATGAAGAAATCCCGTTTCCAACGAAGGCCTCAAAGAGGTCCGAATATCCACTGGCAGGCTTCACAAACAGAGTGTTTCCTAACTGCTCTGTGAAAAGAAAGGTTAAACTCTGTGAGTTGAACGCACACATCACAAAGGAGTTTCTGAGAATCATTCTGTCTAGTTTTTATACGAAGATATTTCCTTTTCTACCATTGACCTCAAAGCGGCTGAAATCTCCACTTGCAAATTCCAGAAAAACAGTGTTTCAAATCTGCTCTGTGTAAAGGATCGTTCAACTCTGTGAGTTGAATATACACAACACAAGGAAGTTACTGAGAATTCATCTGTCTAGCATAATATGAAGAAATCCCGTTTCCAACGAAGGCCTCAAAGAGGTCTGAATATCCACTTGCAGACTTTACAAACAGAGTGTTTCCTAACTGCTCTTTGAAAAGAAAGGTTAAACTCTGTGAGTTGAACGCACACATCACAAAACAGTTTCTGAGAATCATTCTGTCTAGTTTTTATATGAAGATATTTCCTTTTCTACCGTTGACCTCAAAGCGGCTGAATTCTCCACTAACAAATTCCACCAAAAGAGTGTCTCAAATCTGCTCTGTGTAAAGAATCATTCAACTCTGTGAGTTGAATGCACACAACACAAGGAAGTTACTGGGAATTCCTCTGTCTAACCTTACATGAAAAAACCCGTTTCCAACGAAGGCCTCTAAGAGGCCAAGATATCCACTTGCAGACTTTACAAACAGAGTGTTTCCAAACTGCTGAATGAAAAGAAAAGTTAAACTCTGTGAGTTGAACGCACACATCACAGAGCAGTTTCTGAGAATGATTCTGTCGGGTTTTTATACGAAGATATTTCCTTTTCTGCCTTTGGCCTCAAAGCGCTTGAAGTCTCCACTTGCAAATTGCAGAAAAAGAGTGTTTCGAATCTGCTCTGTCTAAAGGAAGGTTCAACTCTGTCAGTTGAATACACACAACACAAGGAAGTTACTGAGATTTCTTCTGTCTAGCCTTACATGAAAAAAACCCGTTTCCAACGAAGGCCTCAAAGAGGTCAAAATATCCACGTGCAGACTTTCCAAACAGAGTGTTTCCAAACTGCTGAATGAAAAGAAAAGTTAAACTCTGTGAGTTGAACGCACACATCCCAGAGCAGTTTCTGAGAAAGATTCTGTCGAGTTTTTATAGGAAAATATTTCCTTTTCTGCTTTTGGCCTCAAAGCGCTTGAAATCTCCACTTGCAAATTCCACAAAAAGAGACTTTCAAATCTGCTCTGTCTAAAGGAAGGTTCAACTCTGTCAGTTGAATACACACAACACAAAGAAGTTACTAAGAATTCTTCCCTCTAGCATTATATGAAGAAATCCCGTTTCCAACGAAGGCATCTAAGAGGTCCAAATATCCACTTGCAGACTTTACAAACAGAGGGTTTCCAGAATGCTGTATGAAAAGAAAGGTTAAACTCTGTGAGTTAAACACACACATCACTACGCAGTGTCTGGGAACGAGTTTGTCTTGTTTTTATACGAAGATATTTCCTTTTCTACCATTGGCATCGAAGCGCTTGAAATCTCCACTTGCAAATTCCACAAAAAGAGTGTTTCAAATATGCTCTCTCTAAAGGAAGGTTGAACTCTGTGAGTTGCATACACACAACACAAAGAAGTTACTGAGAAATCTTCTGTCTAGCATAATATGAAGAAATCCCGTTTCCAACGAAGGCCTCAAAGAGGTCCGAATATCCACTGGCAGGCTTCACAAACAGAGTGTTTCCTAACTGCTCTGTGAAAAGAAAGGTTAAACTCTGTGAGTTGAACGCACACATCACAAAGAAGTTTCTGAGAATCATTCTGTCTAGTTTTTATACGAAGATATTTCCTTTTCTACCATTGACCTCAAATCGGCTGAAATCTCCACTTGCAAATTCCAGAAAAACAGTGTTTCAAATCTGCTCTGTGTAAAGGATCGTTCAACTCTGTGAGTTGAATACACACAACACAAGGAAGTTACTGAGAATTCATCTGTCTAGCATAATATGAAGAAATCCCGTTTCCAACGAAGGCCTCAAAGAGGTCTGAATATCCACTTGCAGACTTTACAAACAGAGTGTTTCCTAACTGCTCTCTGAAAAGAAAGGTTAAACTGTGTGAGTTGAACGCACACATCACAAAACAGTTTCTGAGAATCATTCTGTCTAGTTTTTATACGAAGATATTTCCTTTTCTACCGTTGACCTCAAAGCGGCTGAATTCTCCACTTACAAATTCCACCAAAAGAGTGTCTCAAATCTGCTCTGTGTAAAGAATCATTCAACTCTGTGAGTTGAATGCACACAACACAAGGAAGTTACTGGGAATTCCTCTGTCTAACCTTACATGAAAAAACCCGTTTCCAACGAAGGCCTCTAAGAGGCCAAGATATCCACTTGCAGACTTTACAAACAGAGTGTTTCCAAACTGCTGAATGAAAAGAAAAGTTAAACTCTGTGAGTTGAACGCACACATCACAGAGCAGTTTCTGAGAATGATTCTGTCGGGTTTTTATACGAAGATATTTCCTTTTCTGCCTTTGGCCTCAAAGCGCTTGAAGTCTCCACTTGCAAATTGCAGAAAAAGAGTGTTTCGAATCTGCTCTGTCTAAAGGAAGGTTCAACTCTGTCAGTTGAATACACACAACACAAGGAAGTTACTGAGATTTCTTCTGTCTAGCCTTACATGAAAAAAACCCGTTTCCAACGAAGGCCTCAAAGAGGTCAAAATATCCACGTGCAGACTTTCCAAACAGAGTGTTTCCAAACTGCTGAATGAAAAGAAAAGTTAAACTCTGTGAGTTGAACGCACACATCCCAGAGCAGTTTCTGAGAAAGATTCTGTCGAGTTTTTATAGGAAAATATTTCCTTTTCTGCTTTTGGCCTCAAAGCGCTTGAAATCTCCACTTGCAAATTCCACAAAAAGAGACTTTCAAATCTGCTCTGTCTAAAGGAAGGTTCAACTCTGTCAGTTGAATACACACAACACAAAGAAGTTACTAAGAATTCTTCCCTCTAGCATTATATGAAGAAATCCCGTTTCCAACGAAGGCATCTAAGAGGTCCAAATATCCACTTGCAGACTTTACAAACACAGGGTTTCCAGAATGCTGTATGAAAAGAAAGGTTAAACTCTGTGAGTTAAACACACACATCACTACGCAGTGTCTGGGAACGAGTTTGTCTTGTTTTTATACGAAGATATTTCCTTTTCTACCATTGGCATCGAAGCGCTTGAAATCTCCACTTGCAAATTCCACAAAAAGAGTGTTTCAAATCTGCTCTGTCTAAAGGAAGGTTGAACTCTGTGAGTTGCATACACACAACACAAAGAAGTTACTGAGAAATCTTCTGTCTAGCATAATATGAAGAAATCCCGTTTCCAACGAAGGCCTCAAAGAGGTCCGAATATCCACTGGCAGGCTTCACAAACAGAGTGTTTCCTAACTGCTCTGTGAAAAGAAAGGTTAAACTCTGTGAGTTGAACGCACACATCACAAAGGAGTTTCTGAGAATCATTCTGTCTAGTTTTTATACGAAGATATTTCCTTTTCTACCATTGACCTCAAAGCAGCTGAAATCTCCACTTGCAAATTCCAGAAAAACAGTGTTTCAAATCTGCTGTGTGTAAAGGATCGTTCAACTCTGTGAGTTGAATACACACAACACAAGGAAGTTACTGAGAATTCATCTGTCTAGCATAATATGAAGAAATCCCATTTCCAACGAAGGCCTCAAAGAGGTCTGAATATCCACTTGCAGACTTTACAAACAGAGTGTTTCCTAACTGCTCTTTGAAAAGAAAGGTTAAACTCTGTGAGTTGAACGCACACATCACAAAACAGTTTCTGAGAATCATTCTGTCTAGTTTTTATACGAAGATATTTCCTTTTCTACCGTTGACCTCAAAGCAGCTGAATTCTCCACTTACAAATTCCACCAAAAGAGTGTCTCAAATCTGCTCTGTGTAAAGAATCATTCAACTCTGTGAGTTGAATGCACACAACACAAGGAAGTTACTGGGAATTCCTCTGTCTAACCTTACATGAAAAAACCCGTTTCCAACGAAGGCCTCTAAGAGGCCAAGATATCCACTTGCAGACTTTACAAACAGAGTGTTTCCAAACTGCTGAATGAAAAGAAAAGTTAAACTCTGTGAGTTGAACGCACACATCACAGAGCAGTTTCTGAGAATGATTCTGTCGGGTTTTTATACGAAGATATTTCCTTTTCTGCCTTTGGCCTCAAAGCGCTTGAAGTCTCCACTTGCAAATTGCAGAAAAAGAGTGTTTCGAATCTGCTCTGTCTAAAGGAAGGTTCAACTCTGTCAGTTGAATACACACAACACAAGGAAGTTACTGAGATTTCTTCTGTCTAGCCTTACATGAAAAAAACCCGTTTCCAACGAAGGCCTCAAAGAGGTCAAAATATCCACGTGCAGACTTTCCAAACAGAGTGTTTCCAAACTGCTGAATGAAAAGAAAAGTTAAACTCTGTGAGTTGAACGCACACATCCCAGAGCAGTTTCTGAGAAAGATTCTGTCGAGTTTTTATAGGAAAATATTTCCTTTTCTGCTTTTGGCCTCAAAGCGCTTGAAATCTCCACTTGCAAATTCCACAAAAAGAGACTTTCAAATCTGCTCTGTCTAAAGGAAGTTTCAACTCTGTCAGTTGAATACACACAACACAAAGAAGTTATTAAGAATTCTTCCCTCTAGCATTATATGAAGAAATCCCGTTTCCAACGAAGGCATCTAAGAGGTCCAAATATCCACTTGCAGACTTTACAAACACAGGGTTTCCAGAATGCTGTATGAAAAGAAAGGTGAAACTCTGTGAGTTAAACACACACATCACTACGCAGTGTCTGGGAACGAGTTTGTCTTGTTTTTATACGAAGATATTTCCTTTTCTACCATTGGCATCGAAGCGCTTGAAATCTCCACTTGCAAATTCCACAAAAAGAGTGTTTCAAATCTGCTCTGTCTAAAGGAAGGTTGAACTCTGTGAGTTGCATACACACAACACAAAGAAGTTACTGAGAAATCTTCTGTCTAGCATAATATGAAGAAATCCCGTTTCCAACGAAGGCCTCAAAGAGGTCCGAATATCCACTGGCAGGCTTCACAAACAGAGTGTTTCCTAACTGCTCTGTGAAAAGAAAGGTTAAACTCTGTGAGTTGAACGCACACATCACAAAGGAGTTTCTGAGAATCATTCTGTCTAGTTTTTATACGAAGATATTTCCTTTTCTACCATTGACCTCAAAGCGGCTGAAATCTCCACTTGCAAATTCCAGAAAAACAGTGTTTCAAATCTGCTCTGTGTAAAGGATCGTTCAACTCTGTGAGTTGAATACACACAACACAAGGAAGTTACTGAGAATTCATCTGTCTAGCATAATATGAAGAAATCCCGTTTCCAACGAAGGCCTCAAAGAGGTCTGAATATCCACTTGCAGACTTTACAAACAGAGTGTTTCCTAACTGCTCTTTGAAAAGAAAGGTTAAACTCTGTGAGTTGAACGCACACATCACAAAACAGTTTCTGAGAATCATTCTGTCTAGTTTTTATACGAAGATATTTCCTTTTCTACCGTTGACCTCAAAGCGGCTGAATTCTCCACTTACAAATTCCACCAAAAGAGTGTCTCAAAACTGCTCTGTGTAAAGAATCATTCAACTCTGTGAGTTGAATGCACACAACACAAGGAAGTTACTGGGAATTCCTCTGTCTATCCTTACATGAAAAAACCCGTTTCCAACGAAGGCCTCTAAGAGGCCAAGATATCCACTTGCAGACTTTACAAACAGAGTGTTTCCAAACTGCTGAATGAAAAGAAAAGTTAAACTCTGTGAGTTGAACGCACACATCACAGAGCAGTTTCTGAGAATGATTCTGTCGGGTTTTTATACGAAGATATTTCCTTTTCTGCCTTTGGCCTCAAAGCGCTTGAAGTCTCCACTTGCAAATTGCAGAAAAAGAGTGTTTCGAATCTGCTCTGTCTAAAGGAAGGTTCAACTCTGTCAGTTGAATACACACAACACAAGGAAGTTACTGAGATTTCTTCTGTCTAGCCTTACATGAAAAAAACCCGTTTCCAACGAAGGCCTCAAAGAGGTCAAAATATCCACGTGCAGACTTTCCAAACAGAGTGTTTCCAAACTGCTGAATGAAAAGAAAAGTTAAACTCTGTGAGTTGAACGCACACATCCCAGAGCAGTTTCTGAGAAAGATTCTGTCGAGTTTTTATAGGAAAATATTTCCTTTTCTGCTTTTGGCCTCAAAGCGCTTGAAATCTCCACTTGCAAATTCCACAAAAAGAGACTTTCAAATCTGCTCTGTCTAAAGGAAGGTTCAACTCTGTCAGTTGAATACACACAACACAAAGAAGTTACTAAGAATTCTTCCCTCTAGCATTATATGAAGAAATCCCGTTTCCAACGAAGGCATCTAAGAGGTCCAAATATCGACTTGCAGACTTTACAAACAGAGGGTTTCCAGAATGCTGTATGAAAAGAAAGGTGAAACTCTGTGAGTTAAACACACACATCACTACGCAGTGTCTGGGAACGAGTTTGTCTTGTTTTTATACGAAGATATTTCCTTTTCTACCATTGGCATCGAAGCGCTTGAAATCTCCACTTGCAAATTCCACAAAAAGAGTGTTTCAAATCTGCTCTGTCTAAAGGAAGGTTGAACTCTGTGAGTTGCATACACACAACACAAAGAAGTTACTGAGAAATCTTCTGTCTAGCATAATATGAAGAAATCCCGTTTCCAACGAAGGCCTCAAAGAGGTCCGAATATCCCCTGGCAGGCTTCACAAACAGAGTGTTTCCTAACTGCTCTGTGAAAAGAAAGGTTAAACTCTGTGAGTTGAACGCACACATCACAAAGGAGTTTCTGAGAATCATTCTGTCTAGTTTTTATACGAAGATATTTCCTTTTCTACCATTGACCTCAAAGCGGCTGACATCTCCACTTGCAAATTCCAGAAAAACAGTGTTTCAAATCTGCTCTGTGTAAAGGATCGTTCAACTCTGTGAGTTGAATACACACAACACAAGGAAGTTACTGAGAATTCATCTGTCTAGCATAATATGAAGAAATCCCGTTTCCAACGAAGGCCTCAAAGAGGTCTGAATATCCTCTTGCAGACTTTACAAACAGAGTGTTTCCTAACTGCTCTTTGAAAAGAAAGGTTAAACTCTGTGAGTTGAACGCACACATCACAAAACAGTTTCTGAGAATCATTCTGTCTAGTTTTTATACGAAGATATTTCCTTTTCTACCGTTGACCTCAAAGCGGCTGAATTCTCCACTTACAAATTCCACCAAAAGAGTGTCTCAAAACTGCTCTGTGTAAAGAATCATTCAACTCTGTGAGTTGAATGCACACAACACAAGGAAGTTACTGGGAATTCCTGTGTGTATCCTTACATGAAAAAACCCGTTTCCAACGAAGGCCTCTAAGAGGCCAAGATATCCACTTGCAGACTTTACAAACAGAGTGTTTCCAAACTGCTGAATGAAAAGAAAAGTTAAACTCTGTGAGTTGAACGCACACATCACAGAGCAGTTTCTGAGAATGATTCTGTCGGGTTTTTATACGAAGATATTTCCTTTTCTGCCTTTGGCCTCAAAGCGCTTGAAGTCTCCACTTGCAAATTGCAGAAAAAGAGTGTTTCGAATCTGCTCTGTCTAAAGGAAGGTTCAACTCTGTCAGTTGAATACACACAACACAAGGAAGTTACTGAGATTTCTTCTGTCTAGCCTTACATGAAAAAAACCCGTTTCCAACGAAGGCCTCAAAGAGGTCAAAATATCCACGTGCAGACTTTCCAAACAGAGTGTTTCCAAACTGCTGAATGAAAAGAAAAGTTAAACTCTGTGAGTTGAACGCACACATCCCAGAGCAGTTTCTGAGAAAGATTCTGTCGAGTTTTTATAGGAAAATATTTCCTTTTCTGCTTTTGGCCTCAAAGCGCTTGAAATCTCCACTTGCAAATTCCACAAAAAGAGACTTTCAAATCTGATCTGTCTAAAGGAAGGTTCAACTCTGTCAGTTGAATACACACAACACAAAGAAGTTACTAAGAATTCTTCCCTCTAGCATTATATGAAGAAATCCCGTTTCCAACGAAGGCATCTAAGAGGTCCAAATATCCACTTGCAGACTTTACAAACACAGGGTTTCCAGAATGCTGTATGAAAAGAAAGGTTAAACTCTGTGAGTTAAACACACACATCACTACGCAGTGTCTGGGAACGAGTTTGTCTTGTTTTTATACGAAGATATTTCCTTTTCTACCATTGGCATCGAAGCGCTTGAAATCTCCACTTGCAAATTCCACAAAAAGAGTGTTTCAAATCTGCTCTGTCTAAAGGAAGGTTGAACTCTGTGAGTTGCATACACACAACACAAAGAAGTTACTGAGAAATCTTCTGTCTAGCATAATATGAAGAAATCCCGTTTCCAACGAAGGCCTCAAAGAGGTCCGAATATCCACTGGCAGGCTTCACAAACAGAGTGTTTCCTAACTGCTCTGTGAAAAGAAAGGTTAAACTCTGTGAGTTGAACGCACACATCACAAAGGAGTTTCTGAGAATCATTCTGTCTAGTTTTTATACGAAGATATTTCCTTTTCTACCATTGACCTCAAAGCGGCTGAAATCTCCACTTGCAAATTCCAGAAAAACAGTGTTTCAAATCTGCTCTGTGTAAAGGATCGTTCAACTCTGTGAGTTGAATACACACAACACAAGGAAGTTACTGAGAATTCATCTGTCTAGCATAATATGAAGAAATCCCGTTTCCAACGAAGGCCTCAAAGAGGTCTGAATATCCACTTGCAGACTTTACAAACAGAGTGTTTCCTAACTGCTCTTTGAAAAGAAAGGTTAAACTCTGTGAGTTGAACGCACACATCACAAAACAGTTTCTGAGAATCATTCTGTCTAGTTTTTATACGAAGATATTTCCTTTTCTACCGTTGACCTCAAAGCGGCTGAATTCTCCACTTACAAATTCCACCAAAAGAGTGTCTCAAATCTGCTCTGTGTAAAGAATCATTCAACTCTGTGAGTTGAATGCACACAACACAAGGAAGTTACTGGGAATTCCTCTGTCTATCCTTACATGAAAAAACCCGTTTCCAACGAAGGCCTCTAAGAGGCCAAGATATCCACTTGCAGACTTTACAAACAGAGTGTTTCCAAACTGCTGAATGAAAAGAAAAGTTAAACTCTGTGAGTTGAACGCACACATCACAGAGCAGTTTCTGAGAAAGATTCTGTCGGGTTTTTATACGAAGATATTTCCTTTTCTGCCTTTGGCCTCAAAGCGCTTGAAGTCTCCACTTGCAAATTGCAGAAAAAGAGTGTTTCGAATCTGCTCTGTCTAAAGGAAGGTTCAACTCTGTCAGTTGAATACACACAACACAAGGAAGTTACTGAGATTTCTTCTGTCTAGCCTTACATGAAAAAAACCCGTTTCCAACGAAGGCCTCAAAGAGGTCAAAATATCCACGTGCAGACTTTCCAAACAGAGTGTTTCCAAACTGCTGAATGAAAAGAAAAGTTAAACTCTGTGAGTTGAACGCACACATCCCAGAGCAGTTTCTGAGAAAGATTCTGTCGAGTTTTTATAGGAAAATATTTCCTTTTCTGCTTTTGGCCTCAAAGCGCTTGAAATCTCCACTTGCAAATTCCACAGAAAGAGACTTTCAAATCTGCTCTGTCTAAAGGAAGGTTCAACTCTGTCAGTTGAATACACACAACACAAAGAAGTTACTAAGAATTCTTCCCTCTAGCATTATATGAGGAAATCCCGTTTCCAACGAAGGCATCTAAGAGGTCCAAATATCCACTTGCAGACTTTACAAACAGAGGGTTTCCAGAATGCTGTATGAAAAGAAAGGTGAAACTCTGTGAGTTAAACACACACATCACTACGCAGTGTCTGGGAACGAGTTTGTCTTGTTTTTATACGAAGATATTTCCTTTTCTACCATTGGCATCGATGCGCTTGAAATTTCCACTTGCAAATTCCACAAAAAGAGTGTTTCAAATCTGCTCTGTCTAAAGGAAGGTTGAACTCTGTGAGTTGTATACACACAACACAAAGAAGTTACTGAGAAATCTTCTGTCTAGCAAAATATGAAGAAATCCCGTTTCCAACGAAGGCCTCAAAGAGGTCCGAATATCCCCTGGCAGGCTTCACAAACAGAGTGTTTCCTAACTGCTCTGTGAAAAGAAAGGTTAAACTCTGTGAGTTGAACGCACACATCACAAAGGAGTTTCTGAGAATCATTCTGTCCAGTTTTTATACGAAGATATTTCCTTTTCTACCATTGACCTCAAAGCGGCTGAAATCTCCACTTGCAAATTCCAGAAAAACAGTGTTTCAAATCTGCTCTGTGTAAAGGATCGTTCAACTCTGTGAGTTGAATACACACAACACAAGGAAGTTACTGAGAATTCATCTGTCTAGCATAATATGATGAAATCCCGTTTCCAACGAAGGCTTCAAAGAGGTCTGAATATCCACTTGCAGACTTTACAAACAGAGTGTTTCCTAACTGCTCTTTGAAAAGAAAGGTTAAACTCTGTGAGTTGAACGCACACATCACAAAACAGTTTCTGAGAATCATTCTGTCTAGTTTTTATACGAAGGTATTTCCTTTTCTACCGTTGACCTCAAAGCGGCTGAATTCTCCACTTACAAATTCCACCCAAAGAGTGTCTCAAATCTGCTCTGTGTAAAGAATCATTCAACTCTGTGAGTTGAATGCACACAACACAAGGGAAGTTACTGGGAATTCCTCTGTCTAACCTTACATGAAAAAACCCGTTTCCAACGAAGGCCTCTAAGAGGCCAAGATATCCACTTGCAGACTTTACAAACAGAGTGTTTCCAAACTGCTGAATGAAAAGAAAAGTTAAACTCTGTGAGTTGAACGCACACATCACAGAGCAGTTTCTGAGAGTGATTCTGTCGGGTTTTTATACGAAGATATTTCCTTTTCTGCCTTTGGCCTCAAAGCGCTTGAAGTTTCCACTTGCAAATTGCAGAAAAAGAGTGTTTCGAATCTGCCCTGTCTAAAGGAAGGTTCAACTCTGTCAGTTGAATACACACAACACAAGGAAGTTACTGAGATTTCTTCTGTCTAGCCTTACATGAAAAAAACCCGTTTCCAACGAAGGCCTCAAAGAGGTCAAAATATCCACGTGCAGACTTTCCAAACAGAGTGTTTCCAAACTGCTGAATGAAAAGAAAAGTTAAACTCTGTGAGTTGAACGCACACATCCCAGAGCAGTTTCTGAGAAAGATTCTGTCTAGTTTTTATAGGAAAATATTTCCTTTTCTGCTTTTGGCCTCAAAGCGCTTGAAATCTCCACTTGCAAATTCCACAAAAAGAGACTTTCAAATCTGCTCTGTCTAAAGGAAGGTTCAACTCTGTCAGTTGAATACACACAACACAAAGAAGTTACTAAGAATTCTTCCCTCTAGCATTATATGAAGAAATCCCGTTTCCAACGAAGGCATCTAAGAGGTCCAAATATGCACTTGCAGACTTTACAAACAGAGGGTTTCCAGAATGCTGTATGAAAAGAAAGGTGAAACTCTGTGAGTTAAACACACACATCACTACGCAGTGTCTGGGAACGAGTTTGTCTTGTTTTTATACGAAGATATTTCCTTTTCTACCATTGGCATCGAAGCGCTTGAAATCTCCACTTGCAAATTCCACAAAAAGAGTGTTTCAAATCTGCTCTGTCTAAAGGAAGGTTGAACTCTGTGAGTTGCATACACACAACACAAAGAAGTTACTGAGAAATCTTCTGTCTAGCATAATATGAAGAAATCCCGTTTCCAACGAAGGCCTCAAAGAGGTCCGAATATCCACTGGCAGGCTTCACAAACAGAGTGTTTCCTAACTGCTCTGTGAAAAGAAAGGTTAAACTCTGTGAGTTGAACGCACACATCACAAAGGAGTTTCTGAGAATCATTCTGTCTAGTTTTTATACGAAGATATTTCCTTTTCTACCATTGACCTCAAAGCGGCTGAAATCTCCACTTGCAAATTCCAGAAAAACAGTGTTACAAATCTGCTCTGTGTAAAGGATCGTTTAACTCTGTGAGTTGAATACACACAACACAAGGAAGTTACTGAGAATTCATCTGTCTAGCATAATATGAAGAAATCCCGTTTCCAACGAAGGCCTCAAAGAGGTCTGAATATCCACTTGCAGACTTTACAAACAGAGTGTTTCCTAACTGCTCTTTGAAAAGAAAGGTTAAACTCTGTGAGTTGAACGCACACGTCACAAAACAGTTTCTGAGAATCATTCTGTCTAGTTTTTATACGAAGATATTTCCTTTTCTACCGTTGACCTCAAAGCGGCTGAATTCTCCACTTACAAATTCCACCAAAAGAGTGTCTCAAATCTGCTCTGTGTAAAGAATCATTCAACTCTGTGAGTTCAATGCACACAACACAAGGAAGTTACTGGGAATTCCTCTGTCTATCCTTACATGAAAAAACCCGTTTCCAACGAAGGCCTCTAAGAGGCCAAGATATCCACTTGCAGACTTTACAAACAGAGTGTTTCCAAACTGCTGAATGAAAAGAAAAGTTAAACTCTGTGAGTTGAACGCACACATCACAGAGCAGTTTCTGAGAAAGATTCTGTCTAGTTTTTATAGGAAAATATTTCCTTTTCTGCTTTTGGCCTCAAAGCGCTTGAAATCTCCACTTGCAAATTCCACAAAAAGAGTGTTTCAAATCTGCTCTGTCTAAAGGAAGGTTGAACTCTGTGAGTTGCATACACACAACACAAAGAAGTTACTGAGAAATCTTCTGTCTAGCATAATATGAAGAAATCCCGTTTCCAACGAAGGCCTCAAAGAGGTCCGAATATCCACTGTCAGGCTTCACAAACAGAGTGTTTCCTAACTGCTCTGTGAAAAGAAAGGTTAAACTCTGTGAGTTGAACGCACACATCACAAAAGAGTTTCTGAGAATCCCTCTGTCTAGTTTTTATACGAAGCATATTTCCTTTTCTACCATTGACCTCAAAGCGGCTGAAATCTCCACTTGCAAATTCCAGAAAAACAGTGTTTCAAATCTGCTCTGTGTAAAGGATCGTTCAACTCTGTGAGTTGAATACACACAACACAAGGAAAGTTACTGAGAATTCATCTGTCTAGCATAATATGAAGAAATCCCGTTTCCAACGAAGGCCTCAAAGAGGTCTGAATATCCACTTGCAGACTTTACAAACAGAGTGTTTCCTAACTGCTCTTTGAAAAGAAAGGTTAAACTCTGTGAGTTGAACGCACACATCACAAAACAGTTTCTGAGAATCATTCTGTCTAGTTTTTATACGAAGATATTTCCTTTTCTACCGTTGACCTCAAAGCGGCTGAATTCTCCACTTACAAATTCCACCAAAAGAGTGTCTCAAATCTGCTCTGTGTAAAGAATCATTCAACTCTGTGAGTTGAATGCACACAACACAAGGGAAGTTACTGGGAATTCCTCTGTCTAACCTTACATGAAAAAACCCGTTTCCAACGAAGGCCTCTAAGAGGCCAAGATATCCACTTGCAGACTTTACAAACAGAGTGTTTCCAAACTGCTGAATGAAAAGAAAAGTTAAACTCTGTGAGTTGAACGCACACATCACAGAGCAGTTTCTGAGAATGATTCTGTTGGGTTTTTATACGAAGATATTTCCTTTTCTGCCTTTGGCCTCAAAGCGCTTGAAGTCTCCACTTGCAAATTGCAGAAAAAGAGTGTTTCGAATCTGCTCTGTCTAAAGGAAGGTTCAACTCTGTCAGTTGAATACACACAACACAAGGAAGTTACTGAGATTTCTTCTGTCTAGCCTTACATGAAAAAAACCCGTTTCCAACGAAGGCCTCAAAGAGGTCAAAATATCCACGTGCAGACTTTCCAAACAGAGTGTTTCCAAACTGCTGAATGAAAAGAAAAGTTAAACTCTGTGAGTTGAACGCACACATCCCAGAGCAGTTTCTGAGAAAGATTCTGTCGAGTTTTTATAGGAAAATATTTCCTTTTCTGCTTTTGGCCTCAAAGCGCTTGAAATCTCCACTTGCAAATTCCACAAAAAGAGACTTTCAAATCTGCTCTGTCTAAAGGAAGGTTCAACTCTGTCAGTTGAATACACACAACACAAAGAAGTTACTAAGAATTCTTCCCTCTAGCATTATATGAAGAAATCCCGTTTCCAACGAAGGCATCTAAGAGGTCCAAATATCCACTTGCAGACTTTACAAACACAGGGTTTCCAGAATGCTGTATGAAAAGAAAGGTTAAACTCTGTGAGTTAAACACACACATCACTACGCAGTGTCTGGGAACGAGTTTGTCTTGTTTTTATACGAAGATATTTCCTTTTCTACCATTGGCATCGAAGCGCTTGAAATCTCCACTTGCAAATTCCACAAAAAGAGTGTTTCAAATCTGCTCTGTCTAAAGGAAGGTTGAACTCTGTGAGTTGCATACACACAACACAAAGAAGTTACTGAGAAATCTTCTGTCTAGCATAATATGAAGAAATCCCGTTTCCAACGAAGGCCTCAAAGAGGTCCGAATATCCACTGGCAGGCTTCACAAACAGAGTGTTTCCTAACTGCTCTGTGAAAAGAAAGGTTAAACTCTGTGAGTTGAACGCACACATCACAAAGGAGTTTCTGAGAATCATTCTGTCTAGTTTTTATACGAAGATATTTCCTTTTCTACCATTGACCTCAAAGCGGCTGAAATCTCCACTTGCAAATTCCAGAAAAACAGTGTTTCAAATCTGCTCTGTGTAAAGGATCGTTCAACTCTGTGAGTTGAATACACACAACACAAGGAAGTTACTGAGAATTCATCTGTCTAGCATAATATGAAGAAATCCCGTTTCCAACGAAGGCCTCAAAGAGGTCTGAATATCCACTTGCAGACTTTACAAACAGAGTGTTTCCTAACTGCTCTTTGAAAAGAAAGGTTAAACTCTGTGAGTTGAACGCACACATCACAAAACAGTTTCTGAGAATCATTCTGTCTAGTTTTTATACGGAGATATTTCCTTTTCTACCGTTGACCTCAAAGCGGCTGAATTCTCCACTTACAAATTCCACCAAAAGAGTGTCTCAAAACTGCTCTGTGTAAAGAATCATTCAACTCTGTGAGTTGAATGCACACAACACAAGGAAGTTACTGGGAATTCCTCTGTCTAACCTTACATGAAAAAACCCGTTTCCAACGAAGGCCTCTAATTAGGCCAAGATATCCACTTGCAGACTTTACAAACAGAGTGTTTCCAAACTGCTGAATGAAAAGAAAAGTTAAACTCTGTGAGTTGAACGCACACATCACAGAGCAGTTTCTGAGAATGATTCTGTCGGGTTTTTATACGAAGATATTTCCTTTTCTGCCTTTGGCCTCAAAGCGCTTGAAGTCTCCACTTGCAAATTGCAGAAAAAGAGTGTTTCGAATCTGCTCTGTCTAAAGGAAGGTTCAACTCTGTCAGTTGAATACACACAACACAAGGAAGTTACTGAGATTTCTTCTGTCTAGCCTTACATGAAAAAAACCCGTTTCCAACGAAGGCCTCAAAGAGGTCAAAATATCCACGTGCAGACTTTCCAAACAGAGTGTTTCCAAACTGCTGAATGAAAAGAAAGTTAAACTCTGTGAGTTGAACACACACATCACAGAGCAGTTTCTGAGAATGATTCTGTCTAGTTTTTATAGGAAAATATTTCCTTTTCTGCTTTTGGCCTCAAAGCGCTTGAAATCTCCACTTGCAAATTCCACAAAAAGAGACTTTCAAATCTGCTCTGTCTAAAGGAAGGTTCAACTCTGTCAGTTGAATACACACAACACAAAGAAGTTACTAAGAATTCTTCCCTCTAGCATTATATGAAGAAATCCCGTTTCCAACGAAGGCATCTAAGAGGTCCAAATATCCACTTGCAGACTTTACAAACAGAGGGTTTCCAGAATGCTGTATGAAAAGAAAGGTGAAACTCTGTGAGTTAAACACACACATCACTACGCAGTGTCTGGGAACGAGTTTGTCTTGTTTTTATACGAAGATATTTCCTTTTCTACCATTGGCATCGAAGCGCTTGAAATCTCCACTTGCAAATTCCACAAAAAGAGTGTTTCAAATCTGCTCTGTCTAAAGGAAGGTTGAACTCTGTGAGTTGCATACACACAACACAAAGAAGTTACTGAGAAATCTTCTGTCTAGCATAATATGAAGAAATCCCGTTTCCAACGAAGGCCTCAAAGAGGTCCGAATATCCACTGGCAGGCTTCACAAACAGAGTGTTTCCTAACTGCTCTGTGAAAAGAAAGGTTAAACTCTGTGAGTTGAACGCACACATCACAAAGGAGTTTCTGAGAATCATTCTGTCTAGTTTTTATACGAAGATATTTCCTTTTCTACCATTGACCTCAAAGCGGCTGAAATCTCCACTTGCAAATTCCAGAAAAACAGTGTTTCAAATCTGCTCTGTGTAAAGGATCGTTCAACTCTGTGAGTTGAATACACACAACACAAGGAAGTTACTGAGAATTCATCTGTCTAGCATAATATGAAGAAATCCCGTTTCCAACGAAGGCCTCAAAGAGGTCTGAATATCCACTTGCAGACTTTACAAACAGAGTGTTTCCTAACTGCTCTTTGAAAAGAAAGGTTAAACTCTGTGAGTTGAAAGCACACATCACAAAACAGTTTCTGAGAATCATTCTGTCTAGTTTTTATACGAAGATATTTCCTTTTCTACCGTTGACATCAAAGCGGCTGAATTCTCCACTTACAAATTCCACCAAAAGAGTGTCTCAAATCTGCTCTGTGTAAAGAATCATTCAACTCTGTGAGTTGAATGCACACAACACAAGGAAGTTAGTGGGAATTCCTCTGTCTAACCTTACATGAAAAAACCCGCTTCCAACGAAGGCCTCTAAGAGGCCAAGATATCCACTTGCAGACTTTACAAACAGAGTGTTTCCAAACTGCTGAATGAAAAGAAAAGTTAAACTCTGTGAGTTGAACGCACACATCACAGAGCAGTTTCTGAGAATGATTCTGTCGGGTTTTTATACGAAGATATTTCCTTTTCTGCCTTTGGCCTCAAAGCGCTTGAAGTCTCCACTTGCAAATTGCAGAAAAAGAGTGTTTCGAATCTGCTCTGTCTAAAGGAAGGTTCAACTCTGTCAGTTGAATACACACAACACAAGGAAGTTACTGAGATTTCTTCTGTCTAGCCTTACATGAAAAAAACCCGTTTCCAACGAAGGCCTCAAAGAGGTCAAAATATCCACGTGCAGACTTTCCAAACAGAGTGTTTCCAAACTGCTGAATGAAAAGAAAAGTTAAACTCTGTGAGTTGAACGCACACATCCCAGAGCAGTTTCTGAGAAAGATTCTGTCGAGTTTTTATAGGAAAATATTTCCTTTTCTGCTTTTGGCCTCAAAGCGCTTGAAATCTCCACTTGCAAATTCCACAAAAAGAGACTTTCAAATCTGCTCTGTCTAAAGGAAGGTTCAACTCTGTCAGTTGAATACACACAACACAAAGAAGTTACTAAGAATTCTTCCCTCTAGCATTATATGAAGAAATCCCGTTTCCAACGAAGGCATCTAAGAGGTCCAAATATCCACTTGCAGACTTTACAAACAGAGGGTTTCCAGAATGCTGTATGAAAAGAAAGGTGAAACTCTGTGAGTTAAACACACACATCACTACGCAGTGTCTGCGAACGAGTTTGTCTTGTTTTTATACGAAGATATTTCCTTTTCTACCATTGGCATCGAAGCGCTTGAAATCTCCACTTGCAAATTCCACAAAAAGAGTGTTTCAAATCTGCTCTGTCTAAAGGAAGGTTGAACTCTGTGAGTTGCATACACACAACACAAAGAAGTTACTGAGAAATCTTCTGTCTAGCATAATATGAAGAAATCCCGTTTCCAACGAAGGCCTCAAAGAGGTCCGAATATCCACTGGCAGGCTTCACAAACAGAGTGTTTCCTAACTGCTCTGTGAAAAGAAAGGTTAAACTCTGTGAGTTGAACGCACACATCACAAAGGAGTTTCTGAGAATCATTCTGTCTAGTTTTTATACGAAGATATTTCCTTTTCTACCATTGACCTCAAAGCGGCTGAAATCTCCACTTGCAAATTCCAGAAAAACAGTGTTTCAAATCTGCTCTGTGTAAAGGATCGTTCAACTCTGTGAGTTGAATACACACAACACAAGGAAGTTACTGAGAATTCATCTGTCTAGCATAATATGAAGAAATCCCGTTTCCAACGAAGGCCTCAAAGAGGTCTGAATATCCACTTGCAGACTTTACAAACAGAGTGTTTCCTAACTGCTCTTTGAAAAGAAAGGTTAAACTCTGTGAGTTGAACGCACACATCACAAAACAGTTTCTGAGAATCATTCTGTCTAGTTTTTATACGAAGATATTTCCTTTTCTACCGTTGACCTCAAAGCGGCTGAATTCTCCACTTACAAATTCCACCAAAAGAGTGTCTCAAATCTGCTCTGTGTAAAGAATCATTCAACTCTGTGAGTTGAATGCACACAACACAAGGAAGTTACTGGGAATTCCTCTGTCTATCCTTACATGAAAAAACCCGTTTCCAACGAAGGCCTCTAAGAGGCCAAGATATCCACTTGCAGACTTTACAAACAGAGTGTTTCCAAACTGCTGAATGAGAAGAAAAGTTAAACTCTGTGAGTTGAACGCACACATCACAGAGCAGTTTCTGAGAATGATTCTGTCGGGTTTTTATACGAAGATATTTCCTTTTCTGCCTTTGGCCTCAAAGCACTTGAAGTCTCCACTTGCAAATTGCAGAAAAAGAGTGTTTCGAATCTGCTCTGTCTAAAGGAAGGTTCAACTCTGTCAGTTGAATACACACAACACAAGGAAGTTACTGAGATTTCTTCTGTCTAGCCTTACATGAAAAAACCCGTTTCCAACGAAGGCCTCAAAGAGGTCAAAATATCCACGTGCAGACTTTCCAAACAGAGTGTTTCCAAACTGCTGAATGAAAAGAAAGTTAAACTCTGTGAGTTGAACACACACATCACAGAGCAGTTTCTGAGAATGATTCTGTCTAGTTTTTATAGGAAAATATTTCCTTTTCTGCTTTTGGCCTCAAAGCGCTTGAAATCTCCACTTGCAAATTCCACAAAAAGAGACTTTCAAATCTGCTCTGTCTAAAGGAAGGTTCAACTCTGTCAGTTGAATACACACAACACAAAGAAGTTACTAAGAATTCTTCCCTCTAGCATTATATGAAGAAATCCCGTTTCCAACGAAGGCATCTAAGAGGTCCAAATATCCACTTGCAGACTTTACAAACAGAGGGTTTCCAGAATGCTGTATGAAAAGAAAGGTTAAACTCTGTGAGTTAAACACACACATCACTACGCAGTGTCTGGGAACGAGTTTGTCTTGTTTTTATACGAAGATATTTCCTTTTCTACCATTGGCATCGAAGCGCTTGAAATCTCCACTTGCAAATTCCACAAAAAGAGTGTTTCAAATCTGCTCTGTCTAAAGGAAGGTTGAACTCTGTGAGTTGCATACACACAACACTAAGAAGTTACTGAGAAATCTTCTGTCTAGCATAATATGAAGAAATCCCGTTTCCAACGAAGGCCTCAAAGAGGTCCGAATATCCACTGGCAGGCTTCACAAACAGAGTGTTTCCTAACTGCTCTGTGAAAAGAAAGGTTAAACTCTGTGAGTTGAACGCACACATCACAAAGGAGTTTCTGAGAATCATTCTGTCTAGTTTTTATACGAAGATATTTCCTTTTCTACCATTGACCTCAAAGCGGCTGAAATCTCCACTTGCAAATTCCAGAAAAACAGTGTTTCAAATCTGCTCTGTGTAAAGGATCGTTCAACTCTGTGAGTTGAATACACACAACACAAGGAAGTTACTGAGAATTCATCTGTCTAGCATAATATGAAGAAATCCCGTTTCCAACGAAGGCCTCAAAGAGGTCTGAATATCCACTTGCAGACTTTACAAACAGAGTGTTTCCTAACTGCTCTTTGAAAAGAAAGGTTAAACTCTGTGAGTTGAACGCACACATCACAAAACAGTTTCTGAGAATCATTCTGTCTAGTTTTTATACGAAGATATTTCCTTTTCTACCGTTGACCTCAAAGCGGCTGAATTCTCCACTTACAAATTCCACCAAAAGAGTGTCTCAAATCTGCTCTGTGTAAAGAATCATTCAACTCTGTGAGTTGAATGCACACAACACAAGGAAGTTACTGGGAATTCCTCTGTCTAACCTTACATGAAAAAACCCGTTTCCAACGAAGGCCTCTAAGAGGCCAAG
Source organism: Homo sapiens (assembly GCF_000001405.40). Lineage (NCBI taxonomy): Eukaryota > Metazoa > Chordata > Mammalia > Primates > Hominidae > Homo > Homo sapiens. Next base: position 37,273,692 of record NC_000016.10, on the reverse strand, counting down.
ATATCCACTTGCAGACTTTACAAACAGAGTGTTTCCAAACTGCTGAATGAAAAGAAAAGTTAAACTCTGTGAGTTGAACGCACACATCACAGAGCAGTTTCTGAGAATGATTCTGTCGGGTTTTTATACGAAGATATTTCCTTTTCTGCCTTTGGCCTCAAAGCGCTTGAAGTCTCCACTTGCAAATTGCAGAAAAAGAGTGTTTCGAATCTGCTCTGTCTAAAGGAAGGTTCAACTCTGTCAGTTGAATACACACAACACAAGGAAGTTACTGAGATTTCTTCTGTCTAGCGTTACATGAAAAAAACCCGTTTCCAACGAAGGCCTCAAAGAGGTCAAAATATCCACGTGCAGACTTTCCAAACAGAGTGTTTCCAAACTGCTGAATGAAAAGAAAGTTAAACTCTGTGAGTTGAACACACACATCACAGAGCAGTTTCTGAGAATGATTCTGTCTAGTTTTTATAGGAAAATATTTCCTTTTCTGCTTTTGGCCTCAAAGCGCTTGAAATCTCCACTTGCAAATTCCACAAAAAGAGACTTTCAAATCTGCTCTGTCTAAAGGAAGGTTCAACTCTGTCAGTTGAATACACACAACACAAAGAAGTTACTAAGAATTCTTCCCTCTAGCATTATATGAAGAAATCCCGTTTCCAACGAAGGCATCTAAGAGGTCCAAATATCCACTTGCAGACTTTACAAACAGAGGGTTTCCAGAATGCTGTATGAAAAGAAAGGTTAAACTCTGTGAGTTAAACACACACATCACTACGCAGTGTCTGGGAACGAGTTTGTCTTGTTTTTATACGAAGATATTTCCTTTTCTACCATTGGCATCGAAGCGCTTGAAATCTCCACTTGCAAATTCCACAAAAAGAGTGTTTCAAATCTGCTCTGTCTAAAGGAAGGTTGAACTCTGTGAGTTGCATACACACAACACAAAGAAGTTACTGAGAAATCTTCTGTCTAGCATAATATGAAGAAATCCCGTTTCCAACGAAGGCCTCAAAGAGGTCCGAATATCCACTGGCAGGCTTCACAAACAGAGTGTTTCCTAACTGCTCTGTGAAAAGAAAGGTTAAACTCTGTGAGTTGAACGCACACATCACAAAGGAGTTTCTGAGAATCATTCTGTCTAGTTTTTATACGAAGATATTTCCTTTTCTACCATTGACCTCAAAGCGGCTGAAATCTCCACTTGCAAATTCCAGAAAAACAGTGTTTCAAATCTGCTCTGTGTAAAGGATCGTTTAACTCTGTGAGTTGAATACACACAACACAAGGAAGTTACTGAGAATTCATCTGTCTAGCATAATATGAAGAAATCCCGTTTCCAACGAAGGCCTCAAAGAGGTCTGAATATCCACTTGCAGACTTTACAAACAGAGTGTTTCCTAACTGCTCTTTGAAAAGAAAGGTTAAACTCTGTGAGTTGAAAGCACACATCACAAAACAGTTTCTGAGAATCATTCTGTCTAGTTTTTATACGAAGATATTTCCTTTTCTACCATTGACCTCAAAGCGGCTGAATTCTCCACTAACAAATTCCACCAAAAGAGTGTCTCAAATCTGCTCTGTGTAAAGAATCATTCAACTCTGTGAGTTGAATGCACACAACACAAGGAAGTTACTGGGAATTCCTCTGTCTAACCTTACATGAAAAAAACCCGTTTCCCACGAAGGCCTCTAAGAGGCCAATATATCCCCTTGCAGACTTTACAAAGAGAGTGTTTCCAAACTGCTGAAAGAAAAGAAAAGTTAAACTCTGTGAGTTGAACGCACACATCACAGAGCAGTTTCTGAGAAAGATTCTGTCGGGTTTTTATACGAAGATATTTCCTTTTCTGCCTTTGGCCTCAATGCGCTAGAAGTCTCCACTTGCAAATTGCAGAAAAAGAGTGTTTCGAATCTGCTCTGTCTAAAGGAAGGTTCAACCCTGTCAACTGAATGCACACAACACAAGGAAGTTACTGAGATTTCTTCTGTCTAGCCTTACATGAAAAAAACCCGTTTCCAACGAAGGCCTCAAAGAGGTCAAAATATCCACGTGCAGACTTTCCAAACAGAGTGTTTCCAAACTGCTGAATGAAAAGAAAAGTTAAACTCTGTGAGTTGAACGCACACATCCCAGAGCAGTTTCTGAGAAAGATTCTGTCTAGTTTTTATTAGAAAATATTTCCTTTTCTGCTTTTGGCCTCAAAGCGCTTGAAATCTCCACTTGCAAATTCCACAAAAAGAGACTTTCAAATCTGCTCTGTCTAAAGGAAGGTTCAACTCTGTCAGTTGAATACACACAACACAAAGAAGTTACTAAGAATTCTTCCCTCTAGCATTATATGAGGAAATCCCGTTTCCAACGAAGGCATCTAAGAGGTCCAAATATCCACTTGCAGACTTTACAAACAGAGGGTTTCCAGAATGCTGTATGAAAAGAAAGGTTAAACTCTGTGAGTTAAACACACACATCACTACGCAGTGTCTGGGAACGAGTTTGTCTTGTTTTTATACGAAGATATTTCCTTTTCTACCATTGGCATCGATGCGCTTGAAATTTCCACTTGCAAATTCCACAAAAAGAGTGTTTCAAATCTGCTCTGTCTAAAGGAAGGTTGAACTCTGTGAGTTGCATACACACAACACAAAGAAGTTACTGAGAAATCTTCTGTCTAGCAAAATATGAAGAAATCCCGTTTCCAACGAAGGCCTCAAAGAGGTCCGAATATCCACTGGCAGGCTTCACAAACAGAGTGTTTCCTAACTGCTCTGTGAAAAGAAAGGTTAAACTCTGTGAGTTGAACGCACACATCACAAAGGAGTTTCTGAGAATCATTCTGTCTAGTTTTTATACGAAGATATTTCCTTTTCTACCATTGACCTCAAAGCGGCTGAAATCTCCACTTGCAAATTCCAGAAAAACAGTGTTTCAAATCTGCTCTGTGTAAAGGATCGTTCAACTCTGTGAGTTGAATACACACAACACAAGGAAGTTACTGAGAATTCATCTGTCTAGCATAATATGAAGAAATCCCGTTTCCAACGAAGGCCTCAAAGAGGTCTGAATATCCACTTGCAGACTTTACAAACAGAGTGTTTCCTAACTGCTCTTTGAAAAGAAAGGTTAAACTCTGTGAGTTGAACGCACACATCACAAAACAGTTTCTGAGAATCATTCTGTCTAGTTTTTATACGAAGATATTTCCTTTTCTACCGTTGACCTCAAAGCGGCTGAATTCTCCACTTACAAATTCCACCAAAAGAGTGTCTCAAATCTGCTCTGTGTAAAGAATCATTCAACTCTGTGAGTTGAATGCACACAACACAAGGAAGTTAGTGGGAATTCCTCTGTCTAACCTTACATGAAAAAACCCGCTTCCAACGAAGGCCTCTAAGAGGCCAAGATATCCACTTGCAGACTTTACAAACAGAGTGTTTCCAAACTGCTGAATGAAAAGAAAAGTTAAACTCCTGTGAGTTGAACGCACACATCACAGAGCAGTTTCTGAGAATGATTCTGTCGGGTTTTTATACGAAGATATTTCCTTTTCTGCCTTTGGCCTCAAAGCGCTTGAAGTCTCCACTTGCAAATTGCAGAAAAAGAGTGTTTCGAATCTGCTCTGTCTAAAGGAAGGTTCAACTCTGTCAGTTGAATACACACAACACAAGGAAGTTACTGAGATTTCTTCTGTCTAGCCTTACATGAAAAAAACCCGTTTCCAACGAAGGCCTCAAAGAGGTCAAAATATCCACGTGCAGACTTTCCAAACAGAGTGTTTCCAAACTGCTGAATGAAAAGAAAAGTTAAACTCTGTGAGTTGAACGCACACATCCCAGAGCAGTTTCTGAGAAAGATTCTGTCGAGTTTTTATAGGAAAATATTTCCTTTTCTGCTTTTGGCCTCAAAGCGCTTGAAATCTCCACTTGCAAATTCCACAAAAAGAGACTTTCAAATCTGCTCTGTCTAAAGGAAGGTTCAACTCTGTCAGTTGAATACACACAACACAAAGAAGTTACTAAGAATTCTTCCCTCTAGCATTATATGAGGAAATCCCGTTTCCAACGAAGGCATCTAAGAGGTCCAAATATCCACTTGCAGACTTTACAAACAGAGGGTTTCCAGAATGCTGTATGAAAAGAAAGGTGAAACTCTGTGAGTTAAACACACACATCACTACGCAGTGTCTGGGAACGAGTTTGTCTTGTTTTTA